>NC_000003.12:104008604-104311634 GCF_000001405.40 Homo sapiens | reverse complement strand
AGAGGAACATGTGTTTCCCACCTGCTGGCCTAAGAAAGTCACCCTACCTTTGCCAGCAGCAGGCTGCCCCCAACTCAAGCAGTCTGCCAGTGGCCTGGGGATTGCCACTCACCTGCCTACTATGGCCTTTCCCTGCACACAGTATCAGGGGACCTGAGAACAAACCCATCTGGCCTGGTTTTGCCCATGCCACCCTGGGCCAGAGCACACAGTCCAGGGGCCAAGAGATTGCTCGGTCCAGTCCAATATCATTGGAATCTGAACCCTTCTCTTTGGGGACTAAGGATGGGCCTACCTACCCTGCTACTACCACCACAGCTGGCATCTACTTGCATGCACTGCCTGTGGGCTTGGAGACTGGCCTGCTCAGCTTATTGCAGGAAATGCTAATACCAGAGTGTATCGTTCAAGATCCAGATGGTTGTTCCACCATTGCCACTGCCACTGTCCACATTACACTGGCTGCCCAAAGGCCCCCAAACCCACACATCTTACCAGTCTAAAAGCATTTAAGTCACTTGGAGGTCAAAGAATCAGCCTGTCTGGACTCGCTAACTCAGGTGCCTGAATATGCCATCCTGGGTCCCAAGCAAAGGCATACTCAGCTCATCATTACCATTACTGGGGCTCAAAGACTGGCTTACCTGGAATCCCAGTCCCCAAAATACTTTGCCACTGCCACAACTAACAATTGCACCCTAAGCTACTGAGGAAGTCATGCATACTGCTGACACTATTTACAGCTGAAGGAGTCAAAGAGACTACATTACTTCACCCACACAGAATCAAAGATAAAATGCCCTTTCCAACCAATACCATAGATACATCATAAGGAAAAAACTCTTTCCTACAAAAGCAAGTTTAAGAAATTGGAAAAAGTGACTAAAACATCAGATGTGCAGGTATCAATGTAAGGGCACAGAAACATAAAAAAGCAAGAAAACATAACACCTTAAAAAGAATACAATAATTCTTCTGCAAAAGATGCCGATCAAAAACAATTTACAAAATTTCAGAAAGATAATTTAAAATATTGATACAAAACTAGCTAAGAGAGATGCCAAAAAATTCTGAAAAACAATTCAAAACAAAACAGGCCATCAATTCAGGATATTAATGAGAAATTTATCAAAGAGACAGATATCATAAAAAAGAACCAAAGATTTGTTTATTATACTTTAAGTTCAGGGATATATGTGCAGAACGTGCAGATTTGTTACGTAGGTATACACGTGCCATGGTGATTTGCTGCACCCATCAACCTGTCATCCGCATTAGGTATTTCTGCTAATGGTATCCCTCCCCTTGCACCTTACCCCCGACAGGCCCCAGTGTGTGATGTTCCCCTCATGTGTCCATGTGCTCTCATTGCTCAACTCCTACTTATGAGTGAGAACATGCAGTGTTTGTTTTTCTGTTCCTGTGTTAGTTTGCTGAGAATGATGGTTTCCAGCTTCATCCATGTCCCTGCAAAGGACAGGAAGTCATCCTTTTTATGGTTGCATAGTATTCCATGGTGTATATGTGCCACATTTTCTTTATCCAGTCTATCATTGATGGACATTTGGGTTTGTTCCAAGTCTTCGTTATTGTGAATAGTGCTGCAGTAAACATATGTATGCAAGTGTCTTTAAGCTAGAATGATTTATAATCCTTTGGTTTTCTACTCAGAAATGGGATTGCTGGGTCAAATGGTATTTCTAGTTCTAGATACTTGAGGAATTGCCACACTGTCTTCCACAGTGGTTGAACTAATTTACACTCCCACCAACAGTGTAAAAGCATTCTTATTTCTCCACATCCTCTCCAGCATCTGTTGTTTCCTGACTTTTTAATGATCGCCATTCTAACTGGTGTGAGATGGTAACTCATTGTGGTTTTGACTTGCATTTCTCTAATGATCAGTGATGATGAGCTTTTTTTCATATATTTGTTGGCCACATAAATGTCTTCTTTTGAGAAGTGTCTTTTCATGTCCTTTGCCCAATTTTTGATGGAGTTGTTTGTTTTTTTCTTGTAAATTTGTATAAGTTCTTGGTAGATTCTGAATATTAGCCCTTTCTCAGATGGATAGATTTTAAAAATTTTCTCCCATTCTGTAGGTGTCCTGTTAACTCTAATGATAGTCTCTTTTGCTCTGCAGAAACTCTTTAGTTTAATTAGATCCCATTTGTCAATTTTAGCTTTTGTTGCAATTGCTTTTGGTTTTTCAGTCATGAAGTATTTGCCCATGCCTATGTGCTGAATGGTATTGCCTAGGTTTTCTTCTAGAGATTTTATGGTTTTAGGTCTTACATTTAAATCTTTAATCCATCTTGAGTTAATTTCTGTATAAGGTGTAAGGAATGGGTCCAGTTTCAGTTTTCTGCATATGGCTGGCCAATTTTCGCAACGCCATTTATTTAATAGGGAATCCTTTCCCCATTGCTTGTTTTTGTCAGGTTTGTCCAAGATCAGATGGTTGCAGATGTGTGGTGTTACTTCTGAGGACTCTCTTCTGTTCCATTGGTCTATATATCTGTTTTGGTACCAGTGCCATGCTGTTTTGGTTACTGTACCCTTGTAGCATAGTTTGAAGTCAGGTAGCATGATGCCTCCAGCTTTGTTTTTTTGTTTGTTTGTTTGTTTGTTTTTGCTTAGGATTGTCTTGGCTATGTGGGCTCTTTTTTGGTTCCATCTGAAATTTGAAATAGTTTTTTCTAATTCTGTGAAGAAAGTCAATGGTAGCTTAATGGGAATAGCATTGAACCTATAAATTACTTTGGGCAGTATGACCATTTTCAAGATATTGATTCTTCCTATCCATAAGCATGGTATGTTTTTCCATTTCTTTGTGTCCTCTCTTATTTCCTTGAGCTGTGGTTTGTAGTTCTCCTTGGAGAGGTCCTTCACATCCCTGTAAGTTGCATTCCTAGGTATTTTATTTTCTTTGTAGCAATTGTGACTGGGAGTTCACTCATGATTTGGCTCTTGGTTTTTCTATTATTGGTGTATAGGAATGCTTGTGATTTTTGCACATTGATATCCTGAGACTTTGCTGAAGTTGCTTATCAGCTTAAGGAGATTTTGGGCTGAGATGATCGGGTTTTCTAAATATACAATCATGTCCTCTGCAAAAAGAGATAATTTGACTTCCTCTCTTCCTATTTGAATATATTTATTTCTTTCTCTTGCCTGACTGCCCTTGCCAGAACTTCCAAAACTATGTTGAATAGGAGTTATAGGAGAGGGCAGCTTTGTTTTGTGCCAGTTTTCAAAGGGAATGCTTGCATCTTTTGCCCATTCAGTATGATATTGGCTGTGGGTTTGTCATGAATAGCTTATTATTTTGAGATACATTCCATCAATACCTACTTTATTGAGAGTTTTTAGCCTGAAAGGGTATTAAACTTTATCAAAGCCCTTTTCTGCATCTATTGGGATAATCATTGGTTTTTGTAATTGGTTCTGTTTATGTGATGGATTATGTTTATTGATTTGTGTATGTCGAACCAGCCTTTTGTCCCGGGGATGCAGCCAACTTGATCATGGTGGATAAGCTTTTTAATGTGTTGCCGGATTCAGTTTCCCAATATTTTGTTGAGGATTTTCACATCAATGTTAATCAGGGATATTGGCCTGAAATTTTATTTTTTTGTTGTTGTGTCTCTACCAGGTTTTGGTATCAGGATGATGCTGGCCTCATAAAATGAGTTAGGGAAAAGTCCCTCTTTTTCTATTGTTTGAAATAGTTCCAGAAGTAATGGTACCAGCTCCTCTTCGTACCTCTGATAGAATTTGGCTGTGAATTTATCTGGTCCTGAGCTTTTTTTGGTTGGTAGGCTATTAATTACTGCCTCGGTTTCAGAGCTTGTTATTGGTCTACTCAGGGATTTGAATTCTTCTTGGTTTAATCTTGGGAGGGTGTATGTGTCCAGAATTTATCCATTTCTTCTAGATTTTCTAGTTTATTTATGTAGAGGTGTTTATAGTATTCTCTGGTGGTAGTTTGTATTTTCCATGGGATCAGTAGTGATATCCTCTTTATCATTTTTTTATTGTGTCTATTTGATTCTTCTCTCTTTTCTTCTTTATTAGTCTGGCTAGTGGTCTGTGTATTTTATTTTTTCAAAAAAAAAAAAGACTCCTGGATTCATTGATATTTTGAAGGGTTTTCATGTCTCTGTCTTCTTCTGTTCTGCTCTGATCTTAGTTATTTCTTGTCTTCTGCTAGCTTTTGAATTTGTTTGTTTGCTCTTGCTTCTCTAGTTCTTTTAATTGTCATGTTAGGGTGTTGAGTTTAGATCTTTCCCACTTTCTCCTGTGGGCATTTAGTGCCAAAAATTTAGCGCTAAACACTGCTTTAGCTGTGTCTCAGAGATTCTGATATGTTGTGTCTTTGTTCTCATTGGTTTTAAAGAACTTATTTATTTCTAACTTAATTTTGTTCTTTATGCAGTAGTCACTTAATAACAGGTTGTTCATTTGCCATGTATTATGCAGTTTTTAGTGAATTTCTTAATCCTGAGTTCTAATTTGATTGCACTATAATGTGAGAGACTGTTTGTTATGTTTTCCATTCTTTTGCATTTGCAGAGGAGTGTTTTACTTCCATTTATGTCATCAATTTTAGATTAAGTGCAATGCGGTGCTGAGAAGAATGTATATTCTGTTGATTTGGGGTGGAGAGTTCTGCAGATATCTATTAGATCCACTTGGTCCAGAGCTGAATTCAAGTCCTGAATATCCTTCTTAATTTTCTGTCTTGTTGTACTGTACAATATTGACAGTGGAGTGTTAAAGTCTCCCACTATTATTGTGTGGGAATCTAAGTCTCTTTGTAGGTCTCTAAGGACTTGCTTTATGAATCTGGGTGCTTCTGTAGTGGGTGCGTATATATTTAGGATAGTTAGTTCTTCTTGGTGCATTGATCCCTTTACTATTATGTAATGCCCTTCTTTGCCTTTTTTGATCTTTGTTGGTTTAAACTCTGCTTTGTCAGAGACTAGGATTGCAACCCCTGCTTTTTTGCTTTCCATTTGCTTGGCAAATATTCATACGTACCTCTATTTTGAGCCTACGTGTGTCTTTGCACATGAGATGTGTCTCCTGAATACAGCACACAGATGGGTCATGACTCTTTATCCAATTTACCAGTCTGTGTCTTTTAACTGGGGCATTTAGCCCATTTACATTTGTGGCTCATATTGTTATGTGTGAATTTGATCCTCTCATCATGATGCTATTTGGTTATTTTGCACACTAGTTGATGCAGTTTCTTCAGAGTGTCATTGATCTTTATATTTTGGTACATTTTTGCAGTGGCTGGTACTGATTTTTCCTTTCCATATTTAGTGCTTCTTTCAGGAGCTTTTGCAGGGCAGGCCTGGTGGTAACAAAATCCCTCAGCCGTTGCTTGTCTGTAACGGATTTTATTTCTCATTAACTTATGAAGCTTAGTTTGGATGGTTATAAAATTCTGTGTTGAAAATTCTTTGCTAAGAATGTTGAATATTGGCCTCCACTCTCTTATGGCTTGTAGGGTTTCTACAGAGAGGTCCATTGTTAGTCTGATGGGCTTCCCTTTGTGAGTAGTCCGACCTTTATCTTTGGCTGCCCTCAACATTTTTTCCTTTATTTAAACCTTGGTGAATCTGACGATTATGTGTCTTGGGGTTGCTCTTCTCAGGGGGTATCTTTGTGGTGTTCTCTGTATTTCCCAAATTTGAATGTTGCCCTGTCTTCCTAGGTTGGGGAAGTTCTCCTGGATAATATCCTGAAGTGTGTTTTCCAACTTGGTTCCATCCTCCCCATCACTTTCAGATACACCAATCAAACATAAATTTGGTCTTTTCATATAGTTCCATATTTCTTAGAGGTTTTGTTCATTCCTTTTCATTTTTTTTTTCTCTAATCTTGTCTTCGCACTTTATGTCATTAAGTTGATCTTCAATCTCTGATATCCTTTCTTTTTCTTGATTGATTCAGCTATTGATACTTGTATATGCTTCGAAAGTTCTCATGCTGTGTTTTTCAGCTCCATCAGGTCATTTATGTTCTTCTCTAAACTGGTTAATCTAGTTAGTAGTTCCTGTAACCTTTTATCAACTTAGCTTCCTTGCATTGGGTTAAAACATGCTCCTTTACCTCAGAGGATTTTGCTATTACCCACCTTCTGAAGCCTACTTCTGTCACTTCATCAAACTCATTCTCCATCCAGTTTTGTTCCCTTGCTGGTGAGGAGTTGTGATCCTTTGGAGAAGAAGAGGCATTCTTGTTTTTGAAAATTTCAGCCTTTTTTAGCTGCTTTTTCCTCATCTTCATGGATTTACCTATCTTTTGTCTTTGATGTTGGTGACTTTCAGATGGGGTTTTTGCATGGTAGTCCTTTTTGTTGATGTGGATGCCATTCCTTTCTGTTTGCTAGTTTTCCTTCTAACAGTCAGGCTCCTCTTCTGCAGGTTTGCTGCAGTTTGCCAGAGGTCCACTTCAGACCATGTTTGCCTGGGTATCACCAGTGGAGGCTGCAGAGCAGCAAAGATTGCTACCTGCTTTTTCTTCTGGAAGCTTCATCCCAGAAGGGCACCTGCCAGATGCCAGCTGGAGCTCTCCTGTATGAGGTGTCTATCAACCTCTGCTGGGAGATCTCACTCCATTATGAGGCATGGGCGTCAGGGACCCTCTTGAGAAGGCAGTCTGTCCCTTAGCAGAACTTGAGCACTGTGCTGGGAGATCCGCTGCTCTCTTCAGAGCTGGCAGGCCAAATGTTTAAGTCTGCTGAAGTTGCGCCCACAGCTGCCCCTTCCCCCAGATGCTCTGTCCCAAGGAGATGGGAGTTTTATCTATAAGCCCCCAACTGGAGATGCTGCCTTTTTTTCAGAGATACCCTGCCCAGAGCAGAGGAATCTAGAGAGGCAATGTGGCTACAGCTGCTTTGTGGAGCTGCGGTGGGCTCCGCCCAGTCCAAACTTCATGGTGGCTTTGTTTACACTGTGAGGGGAAAACCTCATTAATGGTGCATGCCCCTCTTCCTACCAAGCTGGAGTGACCCAGGTCAACTGCAGACTGCTGTGCTGGCAGTGAGAATTTCAAGCCAGTGGATCTTAGCTTGTTGAGCTCCACGGGAATGGGATCTGCTGAGCAAGACCACTGGGCTCACTGGCTTCAGCCTGCTTTCCAGGGATGTAAATGGCTCTATCTTGTTGGAGTTCCAGGCACCAATGGGGTATGAAAAAAACCTCCTGAAGCTAGCTCAGTGTCTTCCCAAATGCTCACCCAGTTTTGTGCTTGAAACCCAGGTCCCTGGAGGTGTAGGCACCCCAGGGAATCTCCTTGTCTGTGGGTTGCAAAGACTGTGGAAAAAGTATAGTATCTGGGCTGAATAGCACCATCCCTCACGACATGGTCCCTCATGACTTCCCTTGGCTAAGGGAGGGAGTTTCCCAACCCCTTCTGCCTCCCAGGTGAGGTGACACCCCACTCTGCTTCTGCTCACCCTCCATGGGCCACACCCACTGTCTAACCCATCCCATTGAGTTGAACTGGGCACCTCAGTTGGAAATGCAGAAATCACCCACCTTCGACATTGGTCTCGCTGGGAGCTGCAGACTGGATCTGTTCGTATTTAGCCATCTTGCCTGGGAATCCCCAGAACCAAAGATTTTGAAACTGAAGAATATATTGAATTAAATATAAAATGCATTTTAAAGCTACAATATACTAGATAGAGCGGAAGAAAGAATCTGAGAAATTTTGAAACAACACAGTCAGATAAAAATAAAAAAAGAATACGAAATAATAAGAAAATAAATAGTGACATATGGGAAACAATAAAGTGAATAGATATTTGAATTATTGAGGTCTTGGAAGATGAAAAGAGAATGAAAGAGTTAGAAAATTTATTTAACCAAACAGTAGATAAAAACTTCCTAGCAAGGGATATAGAAATTACAGACTGCAAACTGGAAGACCTAGAGTAAATAGCTAAATCCCTGGACATGTTAACCTACCAAGATTGAGTCAGGAAGAAACAGAAAATCTGAACAGACTAATAATGAGTAATGATATTGAATCAGTAACAAAAGTCTCCCAATAAAGTCAAGGACCAGATGGGTTCACTGCCAAATTCCATCAAATTTACAAAGAACTAACTAATTCTCCTTGAACCATTCCAAAAAACTGAAGTGGAGGGAATTCTCCCTGTCTCATTCTATGAATCCAGCATTAGCCTGATAGCAAAACCAAACAAACACAGAACAATAAAATAAAACTACAGGTCAATATTTCTGATGAACATACACTTAAAAATTCCCAAGAAAATACTAGTAAACAAAATCCAGTAGCACATCAACAAAATGATACAGCATGATTAAATGGTATTTATGCCAGGGATACAAGGATGGTTCAACAAACACATTTTAATAAGCATAATACATCACATCAACAGAATAAAGGACAGAAGTCATATGATTATCTCAATAGATGCAGAAAAAGTGTTTGATAAAATTCAACATTCCTTCATGATAAAACCTCTCAATAAACTAGGCATAAATGGAACATACCGACAAAATGATAAAGGACTTTTATGATAAACTCACAACCAACATCATACTGAATGGGGAAAAGTTGAAATCCTTTCCTCTAAGAATTGGAACAAGATAAGGATGCCCACTTTCATCACTTTCAAAATAGTACTGGAAATCCTAACCAGAGCAATTCTGGTAAGAGGAAAAAATAAATGGCATCCAAAAGGGAAAAGACAAAGTCAAATTATTCCTCTTTGCAGATAACGTAATTTTATATTTAGAAAAACCAAAATACACACAAAAAACTTTGGGAGTAATAAATTCAGTAAAAAATTGCAGAATACAAAAATCTGCATACAAAAATCAGTAGCATTTCTATACACCAGTAATGAAGGAGTTAAGAAGAAAAATCAAAAAAGCAACTTTATTTACAATCGCTTTAAATAAAGTAAAATTTCTAGGCATAAATTTAATCAAGAAGGTAAAATATCTTTACAAGAAAAACTGCAAACCATAGATGAGAGTAATTATAGATACACAAACAAATGAAAAGACATCCTATACTTATGGATCAGAAGAATTAATATTGTTTAGATGAACATACTACCCAAAGCAATCTACAAGTTCAATGCACTGTCTATGAAAATATCAATGTCATATTTCACAGAAATAGAAAAAAGTATGAAACTTTTATGGAACCAAAAAAATCCAGAATAGTTAGAGCAGTTCTGAGCACAAAGGACAAAACTAAAAGCATTGCACTACATGACTTCAAAATATACTGCAAAGCTATAATTAAGAAAACCCAAAATAGTTAGTATAAAAATAGACATACATAGACCAAACAAACAGAATAGAGAACCCAGAAATGAATCCACATATTTACAGCTAACTGATTTTCAACAAAGGCACCAAAAACATATTCTAAAGAGGACACCCTCTTCAATAAATGATGCTGGGGAGATTGGATATCTATATGTGGAAAAAGGAACTTGGATTCCTATCTCTCACTGTATACAAATATCGTACTAAAGATGAATTAAAGAATCAAATGTAAGATCTAAAACTATATCACTTCTAGAAGAAAACATATGGAAAATAGTTTGGGACATGGGTCTAGGCAAATACATTATGTCTATGACATCAAAAGCACAGACAACTAAAATAAAAATAGACAAATGGGATTACATTAAGCTAAAAACAATTATGCACAAGAAAGGAACACAATCCACAGAGTGAAGACACAACCTATTAAATGAAAGAAAATATTTGCAAACTTTTCATCTGACAAGGGACAAATATCCAGAATATAAAAGAAAGTCAAATAACTAAATGATAAAGAAACAAAAACAAATAATCACATAAAAGTGGGCAAAGAACATGAATAGACATTTCTCAAAGGAAGACAAATGAATGGCCAACAGGCACATGATAAAATGCTTGGCATCACCAGTCATCAGAAAAATGCAAATCAAAACAACAATAAGTATTATCATACCCCTAATAGAATGGCTATTATTAAAAAAACAAAAAAACAACAGATGCTGGCAAGGATGTGGAGAACAGGAAATTCTTACACACTGTGGATGGGAATGTAAATTAGCATAACTATTAAGGAAAACACTATAGAGATTTAAAAAAAAAAAGAAAAAAAAACCCTAAAAATAGAACTACCATAAAATACCACAACCCTACTACTTGGTGGTTACCCAGAAGACAAGAAATAAGTACATCACAGGGATACCTGCACTAACATTTTATTGCAGTACCACTGACAATAGCAAAGACATAAAATCAATTTGTGTCCTTCAATGCACAAATGAATTTAAAAATGTGGCTTGTGTATACAATACAATACCACACAGCCATTAAAAAAAAACATGTCATTTGCAGCAACTTAGATGAAAGTAGATGTCATTATGTCAAGAGAAATAAGCAAGACACAGAATGACAAATATCACAAATTTCACTCTAATGCAGAAGCTGAAAAATTTGCTTTCATGGAGATAGAGAAAAAATAATAGATACAAGAGACTGGGAAGTATATGAGGGTGGAAGGGGGAAAGAAAGAGATACAGCAAGAATAGAAGACTTGAAATGTTACCAACATTAAGAAATGATGATTACTCCAGATAATAGATACTCTATATACTCTGACTGGACCATTACACATTGTAGGCATGTAACAAATACAAATGTGCCCCATAATTGTATAAAGTATTATAAATCAATAAAAGAGAAAAGCAAATGTCTATTAGGTGAAGTCAGTATTGATTTTTTTATTTTAAATTTTTGTGAGTACATAGTATGTATTTATGAGGTATGTGGGGTGTTTTGATACAGGCATACAATGTATGATAATCACACAAATGTAAATCAGATATCCATCATCTCAAGCACTTATTCTTGGTGTTACAATCAAATTATAATTTTTTCATTATTTCTAAGTGCACAATTAAATTATTGACTATACTCACCCATCTGTACTATGAAATACTAGATTTTATTTATTTTTTCTATTTTTTTATAGAAATATTGCCCACTACCCTTCCAAGCCTCTGGTAACCATCATTCTTCTCTCTAGCTCTGTGAGTTTAATTATTTTAATTTTTAATTCCCACAAATAACTGAGAACATGCAGTCTGTTTTCCTGTGCTTGGCTTATTTACATTATTAACACACAGTGACCTCCATCCAGTTTCATCTAAGTTGTTGCAAAAAACAGGATCTTATTCCTTTTTATGGCAGGATAGTACTGCATTGTGTACATGTATCACATTTTATTTATCCATTCATCTGTTGATGACATTTAGGTTGCTTCCAAATCTTGGCTGTTGTGAATACTGCTGCAATAATCACAGGTGTGCAGATATCTCCTTGATATGCTGATTTCCCTTTTTTGGGGGAGGTGCATACCTAGCAGAGAGAAATTCAACATGGCTGACTCCATTTGCTTCTAGCCTAAAAAGTTGGTTGTCTTTACTCATTTCTGGGCATAGGCCAAGCTAGTCATGAGAAGAATTTAGCCAATAGTTTAACAGAAATGGTAATAGTCCCTCCCTAAAACTAGCTTCTTCCTTGCTCAGAAACCAAAAACTGCCTTTGTAAGACTAATGAAAGGCCACAAAATTAGAATTATGAGAGGGGCCTGAATTCTGCTAGGATGTAGGCTTAGTTTCTATAAACCCTTACTGCTTAGGAGTCATGTTGCCAGCGGCTACAAGATTTGGGACTTCCCCAATGGCTCCTATAGATAACATCACTATTGTAGAACCTAAGATTAGTCTTTTGAGATATACTTCAGACTTTTGCATTCTGGCAACTTACTGACCCCACCAGACTTGTGACTCATGACTCAACCTGTCCTGTGGCTTCCCAATCAGAGAGTGCATGAGGACCATTTTCCAAACCCCTATGATTGCATTCCCACCAATCAGTCAGTAGCACCTATTCCCTAGTCCCCTGCCAACCAAACTTTCCTTGGAGACCCCTAACCTCTGAGCCTTCAGGGGGCCTGATTTGAGTAATAACTCCATCTTCTTTGTGGCTGTACTCAGGTCAATTAAACCCTTTCTTTACTGTAATACCAATACCATGTAATACTGTAATACCATCGTCTCAGTGAATTGGTCTTATCTGTAAAGTGGACAGGAAGAACTAATTGGGCAATTATACTTTTAACTCTACTCACTTACTTTTGCTGTTTGAGCTATTGTTATATATTTTACATTTATAGATATTATAATCCATATATGATGCAGTTATTGTTGCTGTACACAATCAATGTTCTTTTATATTTGTACATATGTATACTCCTGCTGGGTGTTTTTCATAGTTTTCTATAGTTTCATGTTTTTTTGTTATAAATGTTTCTTCATTCTGAGTGTCAACTGATTGTATAAATATCAAGCACTATGACATAAGAAAATTTAAAGTTAGTTTTATTCTGAGCCAAATTTGAGGACTATTAGCTCAAAAATACAGGCTCAGGACAAACTGAGAATGGGTCTCAAAGTGGGCTACATAAGACTAAGCATTCACACATGCTGTTACATAGAAAATGAGAGAAAAGGGTAGTGAAGCAAAGGTGACATTCTTATAATCCTGAGTGGAGTTCGATGATACTATACAAAGGTAAAGCAAATATGTGATTAACATATATAGGGGAAAAGGTTAATAAGTATTTAGGATCTTAGGCTCTGAAGAGGGATGATTGAGTCTATTCTGCCTTTCATTTCACCTGATAGGCAAAGTTGTAATCAGCACGTCAGTGAAATATTTGACAGACTCCAGGCTTGCAGATTGAAAGTTTAGCTTTAATTCATAGGCTTAGTTTCTGTTGCCTATATGTCCAACTTGCAACCTTCCTGTGTCACTTTTAAAACATTTATTTTTTTCCTTACATAGGGAAAATCCAATTTATCTTTAAATATTTTTGTTTCCTTTGTGTTTCTTTAAATAACCCTAAGCAAAGTGGTGACAATAACTGTGAAATCCATATACTCCTTATTTTAAATCAATTTTATATATTCTCAGAACTGTAGTCTTTAGTCTACTAAGCTAAGAAACGTAACTAGGACCATGCCCTAAGTTAAGTTGTTTCCTCATGCTTAAATTTGTAAACTCTTTCACTAAAGAATTATCAGAAAGCCCACACCTTATGCATTCAAGGCAAGAGATGAGAATAAAAGCAAAAGACAACCTGTTACGGGAAAGCAGACAAGATCCAAACAAGATGATTCTCACTCTATCTTTTCACGGAAATTTGAATTTTAAATGAAGTCTCTCAAGAATGCAAGATGATAAATCATCCTGATGGCAATGCTGTAGGTCTAGAGATATATTAATGTTTTCTTGTTTCTTATCCCCACTGTAGCTGGCTGTTAGGTTCTTCCTTTTATTATTTCAGCCACCTTTATCCTTTCAAGAGCGTAATTCTTCTCTTCTATTTAATTAAACAGTATCTGTTTATGGTGGTCATCCAATTTTATTTGATAAAGTAGGGCATGAATCAAGCATTCCTAGTTTATTGGGCTAACTGCAATGTTAAAGCTTGTTATACTACACTTAATATCATTAAAAAATTATGCAACCAGACAAACAATTTCTGATTCCTAATTCTTTGGAGGTAGAATTTTCATTTCTCTCCTCTGGAGTTAGTATAAATGATTCAAATGTGCCTTTCTCCATATTAAACTGATGAGATCTTGTTCTCAGATAGAAATTCCTGCTATACACTGTACCTTGAAGGTATATTAGGTCTGGAAAATACCTATTTCTTGAAACTTGATATGAGTTCTTTATGCGTCATCTTGTCATAGAGATTTTGAGAAGCATGTGTGTGTGTGTGGTGTGTGTGTCAGAGAGAGAGGTTTCCATTTCTTCTGGACTGTTTTTTATGTTCTATAATCACAATTTTGGTCATGGGTATATTTACAAAAAATAATTCCTGTACCTGAGAAAAATTATCATCCATTTGAATGTGAGACAAATTTGATTCTTTGCCAATTCACTAGAAGCAGGCTTTGTTGTACTAACTGGCACAAAAATGGACAGGGCAGAGACATGTTCTGGAAGTATTATTATTTCATGTGAAATGTGATAATTTTTAGAAAATAGCTGTGGGTTTTAAAAATATAGCATTTTGACAACCTTAGTAGAAATATATTTACTTGAAAGTATTCCTGAGCCAATTTCTATTGTATTTTAATATCATTTCAGGAATACCTTTTCTTGCATATGAAAAATTAAAATACCAGCAGAAATTTTTGTAGTTTTCTAATGAAAATTATAAACATCTGATGAAATTATTGTGCATTTTTGGAGTTATCTGAATGAATTCTATATATTTAAAATAATTAACATTAAGTAAATATTAAGGGTATATTTACTACTTGAAATGAAATATATACATTTATATTTTATTACAGTTATGAAAATTAATTGAGTGTTCACTACGTTCAAGGCATATTATGAAATAATTCAGGATTTTTAATAATGGGAAGGAATGTTGATAAAGAACAAGTGAACATCTAGTTATCACTTTCTATGTGCCCTTGTATTCTGAGGTGGCTTGTAGTATTCTTATCGAATCCAGCTGGGGTTTACCCACACAGTAAGACCAGATATCCACACCAAGGATTACAGCAGGTGAAGGTGCTTTTTTTTCAGGGCACCAAGCCAAGAGAATCAGGCACTAAGGCTTAAGTCTCTATAACCTCAATGGCTTATAGGTAAGGGTTTTAAAGGCAGGGATACATTTTAGGAAAGTAGTTTGCAGGCAAAATCATAAATCAATATGTGGAGGTTACACATTGATTTTGGCCTAATGGGCAGGATATCTTGAAGTGAGGGTTTCCAGGTCATACATAGATTCAAAGATTTTCTAATTTGAAGTTGGTTAAGGCAGAGAAACTTTGCTTATAAATTTGGGTTCAGCAGAAAAGAATGTTAGCTCTGGCTCATGAGTGTGAGTTTCTCCAGGCCCCTCAGAAAAACAAATAGAAAAAAGAACAGTGGTCAGAGTTCAGACCTTAGCTACCCCTTATCTGAGGTATACTTGCCTCCAGCTTTCTGAGATACAACTCAGTGGCATATGATAATATGTTATTTTTAGTTTCTATAGGGAAATCAAGCATCCCATGATTCTAGACTCCTTGACTACTGTTTTAAGCTATTACCTTTTTGCTTAACAAATTTATTTACTTTTCAGGGTTAGCTAGGTGCCTGGAATTACCCTTGAAGGAACTCAAGATTTTCATTTATTTCCCTGCTTGGGAGCCCACAGGCCCCTAAGAGGGGATGCCTGCTCCATCTCACTATCTTTGTTTTAGAAAGAAACTAATATTCCAACAGGAAAAGTAACCTCTAGTTTTAAAACTTGAAAGTTATAGGGCTAGAGTTTGAATTTAAGTATGTGTAATTCCAAAGCCTGTGTTCTCTCCATTACATGATATTAATTCAAAAATTAATTAAAACTTTATCCTCAAGGGATTTATAATCTTATGGAGAAGTAAGAAAAGCCCAGAAAAAAAATGACTGATAACTGGATTCAAACAGTTAGAAGGAAAAAGAAATGGAAACAATATTTCAAAAGTGAAAACAATCTCATCTTTGAGTTCATTTTCTAAACAGATGTTTTGAAAAATGAGGGAGTGTAAAATTATGTTGTGGCTGGGCATGGGGGCTCACCTCTATAATCCCAGCACTTTTGGAGGTCAAGGCAGGAGGATTGCTTGAGCCCAGGAGCTTGAAACCAGCCTGGGCAACAAAGGGAGATCCTGTATTACACACACACACACAAATTACCTTGTGTGGCAGTGTATGCCTATGGTCTCAACTTCTTGAGAGACCGAGGCAGAAGGATCTCTTGAGCCTGGGAGGTCAAAGTTACAGTGAGCAAAGATTGCGCCACTGCACTCCAGCCTAGGCAACACAGCAAGAACCTGGTTCAAAAAAAAAAAAAAAGGAACAAACAATCTGTTGTGACTGCAGAAGCAATGTAAGAGAAAAACAAATTTTTAGGGTTAAAAAGGAAGAATGTGGCCAGGCGCAATCACTCATGTCTGTAATCCCAACACTTAGGGATGGTGAGGTGGGAGGATCACTTGAGCCTAGAAGTTCAAGACCAGCCTGAGCAGTGCAGTTAGACACTCCACCATCTCTACAAAACAAAACAAAAAATATATATATTTGGGTGTGGTGGTGTTTACTTGTATTCCCAGCTATTTTGGATGCTGAGGCAGACAGATTACTTGAGCCTGGAGGTCTAGGCTTCACTGAGCAGTTCACTTTACCACTGCACTCTTGCCTGGGTGTCACTCCAGATAGGTGACAGTGTCTCAAAGAAAAAAAAAAAAAAAAAGAAAGAAAAAGGAAAAGAAAAAAGAAAGAAGAGTAGTGGTTGATGTTAGAAGAGTAAACTTATGTGACTTTTAAAAATATCAGGATATGTAATTTGACCTTTCAGAATTTTGAATCAACTGAAATTAGAATATTAATCTCAGGGAACCATGTGTGATAAAGAGAAAGATGAATCTTAGGGAAGATGCTATAAAACAAACTAAGAAAAAGCACATTAAATAAAATGAAAAAAGTTACTCATAGGTAAGGGAATTAACATAGTCTAAACTGTGATAACAGAGATACTTATTATGGTGTTAGAGTCTCTATAGAATGTCTATAGAGACTACAGACATTTATAAAACGTCTAAAGACATCTATAGAATGTCTATACAGACTTTAAACGTCTATAGAATGTCTAAATTAGTGGTCTAGATTAGAGAATCAGCTGCAAAGTAATAAATTCTGGTGTCATATCAGAGAATGAAATATACATGGATAGTATTAGAGAGAAGCATTTTTGCGCTTTGAATGGAATCTAAAAGAAAAATGTAATACCAAATTTTACATGGGAGAAGAAAGCCATGGAAAAAAGTGTTCAACACAATTTTTTAGGAACTAACAGGTCCATATTATTGAAGGAAAGATACTGAGGTCTTTAGGAAAAAAGTTAACATCTGTTTATTTTCTTGTGAATATTTTAATGAAGACTGAACAAAGCCTTCAGTTTTATGGAGAAACAATCAGGCTACGATAAAAGTTATTTGCTGAGCATGTTATCTGTATCAGTTAATCTCCCAGGTATTTTTCTCATTTAATTCAAACAGAATGCGTTTTATGAATGTGGAAACTGAGGTGCAAAGTAGTTAAGTAACTCACAGGGTCACAGAGCTAGTAACTTCCTATATTTTCAGTTTTCACACTGCTATAAAGATATTATCCAAGACTGGCTAATTTCTAAACAAAACAGGTTCAGTTGACACAGTTCTACATGGCTGGGGAGGCCTCAGGACCTCAGAAAACCTACAATCATGGCAACAGGGGAAACAGACACCTTCTTCACAAGGTGGCAGGAGAGAGTGAGAGAGTGAGCATGTGAAGGAGGAATTGTCAAACACTTATAAAACCATCAGTTCTCATGAGAACTCACTCACTAATGAAACAGCATGGGGAAACCACCCTCATGATCCAGTCACCTACCTTACTCGACACACGGTGATTACAATTTGGGGTGAGATTTGGGTGGGAACACAGAACCAAACCACATCACTTCCAGGGTTGAGTTTTAATCATAAACCAATCTGATTTGAAAGCCCTTACTCTTATCATTACTCCATGTGAAATACAGGAAAATAATTTTTATTTTTCTATTAGATGTGCTGAAAGGCAGTTTTCATGGAAAGATTGTGACTTGATGTTAAAGTAGGATTGAAAGTCTTAAAAAATGTGAAGGTAAAGAGAGTATCTTGGGGCTAATATTAGAACTCAATGGAATGGGGTTTTGATGTGTTGATTTTAGGATTATAGAAACTTGAGACATACAATCTTCTAATTTGGGTTCAAAGATACAAGCACTTGTAAACAAAACAGAATAGTTTTTTTGTTTTTAAAAAATAGATAGCATTTATTGAATATTTACTCTTTGCCAGGCACTGATCAAAGTATTGGCATGTTTTATTTGTTAGTTTTTCAAATAATTCTATAAAATGGGTTCCATTATTACTTCCATTTAATAGTTGAAAAAATCAGCACACTGAGATGAAGTAATATTTAGAGAACCAATGTGGCAGAGCAGTATCTGAATATAAACATTCTGACTTCAGAATCAATAGAATGAACCACTTCAATGCCTGATGCTCTGTGTTACAGGGATCTGAAACTCAGATTATCTGACAAGACATATTTCAGCAGAGGTAGCCTCTAACTTGAAAGTATCTCTAGGCCAGGTGCAGTGGCTCACACCTGTAATCCCAGCACTTTGGGAGGCTGAGGTGGGTGGATCACCTGAGGACAGGAGTTTGAGACCAGCCTGACAAACATGGGGAAACCCCGTCTCTACTAAAAAAATGCAAAAAAAAAAAATTAGCTGGGCACAGTGGCAGGCACCTGTAATTCCAGCTACTTGGAAGGCTGAAGCAGAAGAATCGCTTGAACCTGGGAGATGGAGGTTGCAGTGAGCCAAGATCGCAGCATTGCATTCCAGCCTGGGATGCAGAGCAAGACTCCGTCTCAAAAAAAAAAAAAAAAAAAAAAATACACACACACGCGCACACACGCAAAGTCTTTAAACATCTGGAATCTTTGCCTTTATGAAAAATCTTTGTAATTTTTTTCCCAGGTACTTATGGCCTGGAACTATAATGAGGGAATAGAGGACAGTTCCATTATGTTTTTCCATGGCTTCATATTTTCTCAGAGAGTGTGGTCCCTTCTCTATTAAGAACTTTATTGTGTAATCCAACAAATGGAAATTTAGAGTTTAACATTCTACATACACTGTACTTCATCAGCTTATCTTGTAATTTATGTTCTGAGTGGTAATAAATATCACAGTTTCTACTGTCTTGTTGTGAAAGCTGTCAGATTCAAAATGGAGTCACTTGTGTCAAACTCTGACAAAATGAAGCTGGGGAAAGCCATGAAGGGAAGACACTCATGCATATTTGTCTAATAACTACGAGTATCACAGGACACTCTGCCATAAAACCATAGCATTGCAAAAAAGGCCACCACAACCTTGCAAACACACTCACACACTCATGCGTTCGCACACACACTCTCTCTCACTCTCCATCTCTCTGTTAGGACATCTGCTGCCTGTTCAAAGTCAGAGTGATGCTATTCTTGTTATTAATCTTTGTAGCCAAGAATTATTATTTTAAAACATGTATGCAATCTTTCTCATTTTGCCTTCAAAATCCCTTGTCTTTCTTTGCCTTCCTAAATGTGTCCATGGCTACCATGGCATGTATATTCTGCATTGCAATGCCCTGCTAATCTCAAGTAAACTAAATATCTTTAGAGAGCCTCTCTCTGTTTGTTATTTAGGTATACATAATTTGGTGACAGCAATGGGACCTAAAGCAAGCTCACCTTGAAGAGATAGCAGCCCTTGGAAACATGTGCGGTACCGACTGGAGTATTTTTAGCTCTGTGTTTCCATAGCAAGCATTTTCTTTCCTGGTGAGCCTTCCTCTCAAGTTATACAAAGCTCCCTCTCTGTGGCAGCAGCTCCCTGCTGGCTTTATTTGGTGTCTGGTTTGAATGAAGCTACCTTGTTAAGAAAACTTCATCCCTTCTGAGACTATCAAACACATTTTTGTCTTTTCTAGCATGACTTTCTGGTATAAGGACATTGTCCTTCTGCTGCATGTACTTTCTATAGAAACTATGTTCTTTTTTGAAGATGTCTTTTCTGGTTAATTCACTTTTGATTGCTTTTTCCTGTATACTGGTTTAATATTTTGTTTTATCTGTCTGTCTGGTTTCAGACTTTGGTGAGTACTCTACTTTTGGTTTCACTTCTGATTGTTTATACACATCTGTAAATGATTTGGCTCTTTTACTTTATTTTCCCTGATTATTTTCTAAACATTTTTTGGGGAGCAAAAATAAACATACCCAGTGGTGAGCATGGGTTGACCAATTAAAAGTCCTTAGGCTATTCACCACCATGTAGGAGGGACTCCAGCCTTCAAAGAGCAAAGTCTTTCATGTGATGATGAACGGGGTCACAGACCAGCAAGATTTGCTTGCCAGTCTCAAGAAAATTTCCATGCAACAGGAAAAATTTGATCACAGGTCAGACAACTAGGGCAAAGGCTATACGCCACGTTACTTAAAGCAAACAAACAAAACAAAACAAAAATAATTCTGTGCCAGGTACACTAGTCAAAGCAAAACATTTTGCCCAAGCTCTTCATTTTTTTGATAAAAGTTATAGAATTTTCTTTTTCTCTCAAGAATTAATAAGAAATGAAATGAGATTCTCAATTATTAAATCATGCCAGGCTTTCAAGTACTTAAGCTGGTTGTATGTTCTAATATTAAGACTTATTCTTGTGCACATTTTAAATCGATGGAAACATTACATCAAAGATAATTTAGAGCTGATGGCCATTATGAGGACTATTTGAACTCCCTAAGCTTGTTTCTTTTATAGCTAGAATTTAAAAAAATAATAATACAACTCTGGGGTTAAATAGTTTGACTGGAATGCTTGCATGTAGAGACTTCTACCCTCTCTCAGTCTGTTTTTACTTCGCTTACTCTGAATCTGCTGACTTTTTCACATGTGTTAAGATAAAACTTACTGCTGCAATTGTCCTTGTCTTACAAATTGAAACATAAATAGAGATATGGTGTTATGGACATCAAAGCCTGCTTAAAGATATTTTTATGGAATTGTAGTGAAACAAAAACATATAAGGAATTAACCCCTACACTAATTTAAAACTAAAAGAAGAGAGGGAAAAGTAAAGGAAAAAAATATCTACTTCTCCACGATAAATTTGGTCCATTGTCTTCATAAGATTACCTATCAAGGGCAAATACAAATCTCAAAATTTAACCATTTGAAAAGGTAACCTTAACATGTCCTATTCTTTTTTCTTTTTTTTTTTTGAGCTGGAGTCTCCCTCTGCCACCCAGGCTGGAGTGCAGTGGCGTGATCTGGGTTCACTGCAATCTCTGCCTCCCAGGTTCAAGTGATTTTCATGCTTTGACCTCCCGAGTAGCTGGGATTACAGGCTTCCATCACCACGCCCAACTAATTTTTTTATTTTTAGTAGAGACGAGGTTTCACCATGTTGGCCAGGACTGACCTCAAGTGATCCGCCCATCTCAGTCTCCCAAAGTGCTGGGATTACAGGTGATTTGTCTTATTTTATCTAAAGCATAGCTTAAATCCAAATGTTCTTTTAAAACTGGTAAGTTTATATTACTATATTTTACTGTTTTATTACTGAAACGTTAAAATGAAAAACATATGAGCTTTATTTGTGTTGTCTGTATGTTTTTATATGTTTATGTTATATGTATATAGTATTTTTTCTACAAAAACACATTTGAAAAGTTCTATTTAGTTGCCTTAAAGAAAAAAATTTAAATAAGTAATCAGCAAAAAAGTAATTAACTCAAATATCTTTCAATTTCATGTGACTTCAGTAAAAAACTGGCAATGTAATATTATCAATTTAAGTAAAGCAGGCATATTTTCAGAGTTTTCAGCATTAAATATGATGCAGACAGATATCTTTATTTCTGTCAGTGAAACCACCTTTGCAAAATTATGACAATAAAATAAATCAGTCATTTTGCTTCTGACCTCCAAGCTGTCCTTGATCATTTCTGGGCATAGGTCAATTTAACTTTAGAAGAAATTTAATTTTTAGTTTAACTTGAAAGCAAGCATGATAATAGTTCCTCCCTAAAACTAACCTCCTCCTTGCACAGGGACTGACAACCACCTTCATTAGCAAGAATATGATTATGGGAGGGGCCAAACTCTGCTAAAATATAGTTACTATAATCCATTACTGCTCAGGAGTCATGTGGCCAGAGGTCAGAAGATTTGTGACTCCTTCAATTGCTATAGATAACATCACTACTGTAGAACCTGAAATTGGTGTTTTAAAATATCTGTGAGACCAACCCCACCTGGGCTTATAAACCATTACTTAACTAATCCTGTGGCCCTAGCTAGAGGTGGACTCAGCACCTCGGGCTGTTTTCCACACCCCTATGATTTCATCTCCAACTAATAGGAAGCAACCATCCCCTACCCGCCTGCCCACCAAATTGTCAATAAAAAATATGAACTCCAAGCCTTGGGAGAGACTGATTTAAGTGATAACTGTAGTTCTCCCATGTGGGCTGGCCTTGTGACAGTTATACTATCTCTCTACTACAGTACCAGAGTGTCAGTAAACTGATTTTGTCTGTGCAGAAGACAGAAAAAAACCCATCAGATGATTACATTACATATTTTAGATCATAAACGTATGAGTTTGAACTAATGACAAGATTGCAGATAAAAGTGCAGTGGCCATTGTTACCTGTATATCAAGCATAGCAGTGAAACAAAAAAAAAAATGTATTTAACCTTTAGGGTCTTTCCCTACCAGGTAAATAGCTCAAAATGATGACTAGCTTGGTCAGGTATCTCAGTTTTTCCAAGTAAGCTAAGTATAATTATAAAGAATTAATAAATCATGTAAGTGTAAATGGGATAAACATTTAGAATTAAAATTTTTTGAAATCTTAAACAATAGATATTCATAAATGAGTTATTTCTAAGAAGTTAAAATATGGGAACATTAATTTTTAATCATAGGTTCAAGTTTATTTACTTTTGGCATTCTACATTTCATAGAAGACATTATATTTGCATTCAATTTAAAAAAAATAGAAAATGTTGAACTGTTTTTTACATACATACTTTGTACGTAAAAAGCATACATATTTTGTATGTAAAAAACAGTTCAAAATTCCTTTCTAGGTTTTCACTAAAAAGATTACTAAGAGCTAGATATTCTAATTAACGTGTAATTCTATTTGGAACTTATACAAGAAGAAAAGATGTGTTTTAGATGAGAAAAGTTATAAATAAGGCATTAAAATGTGTTCTTCTGTTGAGAAAAAGAATAATATTGTCTAGTTTGAAGGTTATTTAAAGATTGTTTTCAAAATGTGAATTTCCAAAGGAAATAAAATAAGGCAGAAAGGAACTAGTAAGTAGGAGACAGATGCAAAGAAAGTTACAGGATGTATTTTTGGTAAGAAAAGTTAAAAAGAGAAAGAGTTTGTATTTTTGTATAAGGAAGAGTCTTGTGTAGTTGAAATAATAAGGAAAAAAGAAATACAAGTTTTTTCTTAAGGTAGAATTATTGTTTAAATATAAGAAAGAAAAACATAGGACAAAACTAAAGGTTTAAACAATTTGTAAAGGGTTTGAGCAAGTGATAGAAGGCTTAAGCAAGTTGGAAAAAGTTTATGAAGGATCAATCTGATAAGACAGAATTTATGTGTGATGAAGTTGACTAAAATTAAAAGAGAATTACTATAAGTTTTTTTAAAATTGAGCATTAGTAGAAAATGTACACTGATAGAATAAATTAAATTTGACCCCTGTATTAAACAACAGGGTTTTCTTGGAGTATTGATTTGCTCTTAATTAAAAAAATTCAGAAGGCTTTGATGTTTAATTATAAAATCTGTTTCTTTAAATTTTCTTCCATATTCTGATCTGTGGGTTTTTTCTGTTTACAGTTTTCATTAAATTTCCCTAAGTCTAAGTTAAAATTCCTATCTTTTTTTATTTAAAATAGTAATTTTATTTCTCAAATGGAGTTTTCCTCTTGTAGATTTTCAGATGTATATCTCAGATGTTCAGTTTTTGTTGCATTTGTTCCACATTGCCTTTGGCTACTTTCTTTTTTCTTAAAAATGGCATATCTTTATCTATTTAACTAAAATGGTGACTCTTTCCCTCAATTTTTAGTTCTTTTTGTTTTGTTTTGTTTTGTTTTTTTGACGAAGTCTTGCTCTATTGCCAGGCTGGAGTGTAGTGGTGTGAACTTGGCTCACTGCAACCTCCGCCTCCCCAATTGAAGCAATTCTCCTGCCTCAGCCTCCCAAGTAGCTGGGACTACAGGTGTGCACCACCACGCCCGGCTAATTTTTGTATTTTTAGTAGACACGGTTTCACCATGTTGGCCAGGATGGTCTCAATCTCTTGACCTCATGATCCACCTGCCTCGGCCTCCCAAAGTGCTGGGATTACAGGCGTGAGCCACCATTCCCGGATTAGTTAGCTCTTATTGTTGGGAATAGGTCCCCAAGTGTGGCCATAAACTGGCCCCAAAAATGGCCATAAACAAAATCTCTGCAGCGCTGTGACATGTTCATGATGGCCAAGACACCCATGCTGAAGGTTGTGGGTTTACTGGAATGAAGGCAAGGATCACCTGGCCTACCCAGGGCAGAAAACTGCTTAAAGGCGTTCCTGAACCACAAACAATAGCATGAGCGATCTGTGCCTTAAGGACATGTTCCTGCTGCAGATAATTAGCCAAACCCATTCCTTTGTTTTGGCCCATCCCTTTGTTTCCCATAAGGAATACTTTTAGTTAATCTATAATCTATAGAAACAATGTTTAGCACTGGCTTGCTATCAATAAATATGCAGGTAAATCTCTGTTCAGGGCTCTCAGTTCTGAAGGCTGTAAGACCCTTGATTTCCCACTCCACACTCTATATTTCTGTGTGTATGTCTTTAATTCCTCTAGCGCCGCTGGTTAGGGTCTCCATGACTAAACTGGTCTCGACAAGTGTTACCCATATGTGGGGCTTGAACTCAGGTCAAAGGGTCACCAGAGCAATGGTTGGAGAATGTGGAACTAAGCTGGAGGACACCCAAGTACTCTTAAGCAATCCCTGTGGTGAGTAGAAGGGGAACTTGGAAGCATCAGGGTAACAATGGGACAACTGTGGGCTCTGGTTCCTTCCGCCCTGGAACCTTTACACACTGATGATGAGGACGAACAGAAGGGGTAACAGAGCAGGTTTGATTGCAAGCTAAAGCTAAAGCAGCAAAGGGGGAAGAGGTTCATCCATACCCTTCTGTACCCCTCCTTATTTTGAAGAAAAAGAGTGGCCTGACACTCTAGATCTTTCTTCTCTAGAGGACACTGGGTGAAAAGTAGTTGCCCCAGTGACTGTTTGAGCAGCACCTCGAGTGACCGCTCTCAGTTCTATGCAGGCAGGAATCCAGTAAGCTAGAAGAGAAGGTGATTTAGAGGCTTGGCAGTTCCCTGTTAGAATACACCCCTCAGATCAACAGGGAAATATCATAGCTACATTTGAGTCTTTTCCTTTTAAATTATTCAAAGAATTTAAACAAGCTATTAATCAATATGGATGAGGTTCTCCTTTTGTAATGGGAATGATAAAGAATGTTGCTGTCTCCAGTCAGATGATGCCAGTGGGGATGATAGGATTACTTCTAGGTAGATCTAGTTTAAATTTAAAAGGAGTGCAAGTACAAACAGGAGTCATCGATTCAGATTACAATGGGGAAATTCAAATTGTTATATCTACTTCTGTTCCATGGAAAGCAGAGCCAGGAGACCATATAGCACAGCTCTTGATTGTGCTATATGTGGAAATGGGGAAAAGTGAAATTAAACTAACAGAAGGATTTGGAAGTACAAATAAACAAGGCAAAGCAGCTTATTGGGTAAATCAAATTACTGATAAAGATCCTACCTGTGAAATAACTATTCAGGGAAAGAAGTTTAAAGGTTTGGTAGATACAGGAGCAGACGTTTCAACCATTTCTCTACAGCAATGGCTGTCCACCTGGCCAAGTCAACCCACTAAATTTAACACAGTTGGAGTTGGTAAAGCCCCTGAAGTACATCAAAGTAGTTATATTTTGCATTGTGAAGGGCCCGATGGAAAACCTGGGACTATTCATCCAATTGTAACTTCTGTACCTATAAATTTATGGGGAAGAGGTTTATTATAACAATGGGGAGCACAAGTTCTAATTCCAGAACAATTACATAGCCCTCAAAGTCAACATGTGATGCATGAAATGGGGTATGTCCCTGGTATGGGACTAGGAAAAAACTTGCAAGGTTTGAAGGAACCGCTTGAAGCAGGAAGACAAAGTTCCCACCAAGGTTTAGGATATCACTTTTGATGGTGGCCATTGTTAAGCCTCCAGAACCTATACCTTTAAAATGGTTAACAGATAAGCCAATTTGGATAGAACAATGGCTGCTAAGTAAAGAGAAACTGGAGGCTTTAGAGGACTTAGTTACTGAACAATTAGAAAAAGGACACATAGCTCCAACATTTCCCCCCTGGAATTCTCCAGTCTTTGTTATTAAGAAAAAATCAGGTAAATGGAGAATGCTAACTGACTTAAGAGCCATTCATTTAGTTATACAACCTATGGGGACATTACAGCCAAGATTGCCTTCTCCTGCTATGATTCCAAAAAATCGGCCTTTAATAGTCATAGATTTAAAAGACTGTTTCTTTACTATCCCCTTAGCTGAGCAAGACTGTGAACAGTTTGAATTTATAATTCCTGCAGTAAAAAACCTGCAGCCTGCTAAATGTTTTCACTGGAAAGTGTTGCCACAAGGCATGTTAAACAGTCCAGCAATTTGCCAGACTTATGTAGGGCAAGCAATTGAACCTACTCATAAAAAATTTTCACAGTGTTACATTATTCATTACATGGACAATATATTTTGTGCTGCCCTCACTTGAGAAATATTACCCCAATGTTATGATCACATGCAAAATTTGATTTCTCGTGCTGGTTTAATTATAGCTCCTGACAAAATTCAGACTACTACTCCTTACTCCTACTTGGGGACCTTATTAAATGACACTACCATTGTGCCACAGAAAGTAACCATACGTAGGGATCAACTAAAAACATTAAATGACTTTCAAAAATTGCTAGGGGACATTAATTGGAAATGATCTGCTCTAGGCATTCCTACCTATGCCATGAGTAATCTATTTTCTATTCTTAGAGGAGATCCTAGTCTCACTAGCCCTCGATAATTAACAAAGGAGGCTGAGGCAGAGTTACAGCTGATTGAAAAGCAAGTCCATAGAGCCCAAATAAATAGAATAGATCCAGAGAAGACTCTAGATTTGCTAATTTTTCCAACTTAGCATTCACCTACTGGTGTAACTGTAAAAGAGCAAGATCTTGTAGAGGGGCTTTTTCTTCCACATACTAATCCACGGACTCTAACTCCTTATTTGGATCAAATCGCTACTATGATAGGAAATGGGAGAACTCAGATTGTTAAATTACATGAATATGATCCTGGAAAAATTACTGTCCCTCTCACAAAGGCACAAATACAGCAAGCTTTTATAAATAGTCTTACTTGGCAAACCCATTTAGCTGACTTTGTGGGTATTCTCGATAATCATTTTCTTAAAACTGTTTCAATATTTGAAATTAACTAATTGGATCCTCCCTAGAATAACTAAATTTAAACCAATTGAAGGTGCTGAGAATGTTTTTACAGATGGGTCTAGTAATGGTAAAGCTTCTTATTCTGGATCAAAAGGTAAAATTTTTCAGATGCCCTATACTTCAGCTCAAAAAGCAGAGCTTGTAGCTGTAATTGACGTATTGAATGCTTATAAAATGCCTATTAATATGATTTCTGATTCTTCATATGTGGTTCATTCCACACAATTAATTGAAAATGCTCAGTTATGATTTCATACAGATGAACAACTGATGACTTTATTTACCCAATTGCAAACAGCAGTCAGGAGTAGAATGCACCCTTTTTACATCACTCACATTAGGGCTCATACACCTCTTCCAGGACCTTTGACTGCAGGGAATCAAATGGCTGATTGCCTAGTTGCTACTGTAATATCTAGCGCTAGACATTTTCACAATGTAACCCATGTTAATGCCTCTGGTCTCAAATGCAGATACAGCATTACCTGGAAAGAAGCTAAAGCTATTATCCAGGGATGCCCAACTTGGCAAATGGTGCATTCCTTATCTTTTACAGGAAGAGTTAATCCTCAAGGATTGGAACCTAATTCTCTTTGGCAAATGGCTGTCACACACGTTCCCTCATATGGGAGACTAGCTTATGTACATGTATGTGTGGACAACTTTTCTCACTTTTTCTGGACTACATGCCAATCAGGAGAGTCTTCTGCCTGTGTTAAACATCACCTTTTGCAGTGTTTTGTGGTGATGGGCATTCCAGCTTCTATTAAAACAGATAATGCCCTAGGCTATACTAGCCAAGCTCTAGCTACATTTTTCTCTATATGGAATATTAACACATTACTGGCATCCCATATAAGTCTCAAGGACAAGCTATAGTAGAAAGAATGCATCTCTCCATGAAACGGCAGTTGCAAAAGCAAAAGGAGAGAAACAGGGACTACGGGACACCCCAGACACCACTGAATCTAGCATTATTAACTTTAAATTTTTTGAGCCTGCCTAAAGACCAGATGTTATCAGCAGCTGAACAGCATCTACAGAAACCAGCTGCAAAGACAGAAGCAGAACAACTGGTTTGGTGGAGAGATCCAATAACAAAAAGTTGGGAAATAGGTAAAATAATTTTGGGTAGAGGTTATGCTTGCGTTTCTCCAGGCCAAAACAAGCAGCCAATTTGGATACCATCAAGACACCTGAAACCTTATCATGAGCCAGATGCCAAAGAAGAGATTCCGGGAGGATCCTGAGGACCCACCAGTTGCAGTCATGTCGAGACTGATGCTGAGGAGGACCCCAACTGTCATGAGCAACACCTGTCAAACACAGCCACCCACCTGGGGACAGATCAAGAAGCTGTCATAGATGGCAGAAGAAAACCTGAGGAAAGCAGGACAACCAGTCACAGTGAGTAATTTAATGATAGCTATGATAGTGGTGATCACCTTTGCCATGAGTATTCCTTCAACAAGGGCTGACATAGAGAACAATTATACTTATTGGGCATTTTTATCAATCTTGGCTAGCAATAATGCCTGGATGTAATCACTCTATGACACAGTTACACATGCTTTCTGATCTCAGTATTTACCATAATGAATCTGCTCCTATAATTGAGGCATACCACACTCAAAAACCTATTTGTAAACAGAATTGGACCTGGCCAGAAATAATGAAATTACTTGTTTGGGAAGATTGCATTGCAGAATAGGCCAAGGTGCTGTGCAACAATTCCTATGGAATCATTATTGATTGGTCCCCTAAGGGGATGTTTAGCTTAAACTGCACCCCTCAGTCTGCATGCCATGGCCACACTATGTTCAGCTGGTCTGAACAAAATGGTCAGATGGTAGAAATGGTAAGAAATATGACAAGAGTTCCGATTATCTGGAAACATGGTGGTATAGTGGCACCTCAACCTCAAATGATATGGCCCACTCTAGGAGCTAAACATAAGGATTTGTGGAAAATATTAATGGCTCTTAATAAGATCAAAATTTAGGAAAGAATAAAAAAGCATCTAGAAGGACACTGTACAAACTTGTCTTTGGATATTGCAAAATTAAAAGAACAAATATTTAAAGCATCCCAGGCACACCTGACCTTAATACCAGGAACTGGAGTGCTCGAAGCTCGAAGCTTCCAACTGTTTTTATCCATTGAAATGGATAAAAACAGTTGGAAGCTCTGTGATTTCAATGATGATTGTGTGTTATTAATCTGTGTCATTTGTTTTTGTATAGTCTGCAGATGCAGATCCTGACTCCTGCAAGAAGTAGCTCACTGTGACAAAGCCGCCTTTGCTTTTATTGCACTGAAAAAAAAGAAAAAGAAGGGGGACATGTTGGGAACAGGCCCTGAAATCTGGCCATAAACTGACCCCAAAACTGACCATAAACAAAACCTCTGCAGCACTGTGCCATGTTCGTGATGGCCATGATGCCCACGCTGAAGGTTCTGGGTTCACCAGAATGAGGGCAAGGAATACCTGGACCACCCAGGGTGGAAAACCACTTAAAGGTGTTCCAGAACCACAAACAATAGCATGAGCCATCTGTGCCTTAAGGACATGTTTCCACTGCAGATAATTAGTGGGAGCTAATTTCTTTTTTTCGGCCTATCCCTTTGTTTCCCATAAGGAATACTTTTAGTTAATCTATAATCTATAGAAACAATGTTTATCACTGGCTTGCTGTCAATAAATATGTGGGTAATTCTCTGTTTGAGGTTCTCAGCTCTGAAGGCTGTGAGACCCCTGATTTCCCACTCCACACTCTATATTTCTGTGTGTGTGTCTTAATTCCTGTAGTCCTGCTGTGTCCACAATTGAGCTGGTCTTGGCACTTATAGCTTTTTATTCTCCTATTTCCAGTTCTAAGTCTGCTATTGTGGCCTGATGCTGAAGAATGTTTGCCTTAAAGGCCTAGGAGGGCAATATTTTCCTCCAATATAACTTGATTCTATACCCTTGGGTTTCTTGATGTGTCTTAATTATTCCATGTAACCAGGAAATTTTATGTGCTTTTACTTTTTCTAAGAGCTGTGTATTCCCCTACTCAAGGTACTAATTGTCTTGTTTATGTTTTTCTATAATATGGTACGTTCTTCTGTAATGTGGCACATTCTTCTATAATATGGTGTGTGCTCATAACCTTAGATACACATTATTCCAATTTCTGACTAAATTAAAGTAACTTTTCATCAGGCTTGACTTCAGGTTCTCTAAATGGGCTTCCCATAAGAGAAGCAATCACACTGCAGGAGGTTTTTCTTTATATTTTAAAAGTTTTCCTAGGAAAACTGACTTGCATCTTATCAAAATGATTTTCTTTTTCCTGTTTTTTTTTTTTTTTTTTTTTATCAGGGCCTTTGATTAAGTGGTAAAACTGAGTGATCTCTGTTAAAGGTCTAAGGCTTGCTTGTTTTTTTTTCCCCCTAAACTATGTAACTTTCTCTAATTTCTTTTAAAGTCTTTTAGTTATCACCCTGGTGAAATAAATGACTGTTGTTTCATGATCACCTGTGGTCTTATTTTGATTAAGAGCTTTAAAATTTTTGATGTCTTTTACAAATTTCTTTAAAATCAAATTCTGAAACAAGTCGTTTTGTCTTTGAACTCACTTTGGAAAGTTTCAGACGGCTCTGAAACTTCTCAAAGGATCTATGAAAGGGATATATTAAACTAATTAGGCTCACTTGGTATATTGAATTATATGAGAAGTCTTGGTAAAGAGTAAGGGATGTTAGATTTGTTTTAAGTTATATTTATGAGTATTATACTAACATGAATTTTCCAAAATTGTGTAAAATTCCCAATAATTTAATATGGTATTAGTAATAATTTAGATTGTTATGTTAAAATGTTGTATGCCACAGAGATAACCAAAGTTCTTGTTGATTTTTGATTATGGTGAGCTCTCATCATCAGATTTTTAATCTTTGTCATTCACACTTATTGCTTTCATTTTTTTGTAATTCTGCAGATTTATGTAGAATACTCTAACAAGCACTTCTGAATACTAACTTATGATAATTTTAAGAGCAACGAACAATCATAAGTCTTCATTTGGGAAATGAAAACTTAAAACACTATAAGCAGCAATGAGGATATTTTGTCTACTAAAGAACACATTTACAAAAGGATTCCTTCCAACCTGGAAAGAAAAGCTCATTAAAGGAGTTATTAAGAAATTGTTTTAGGCAGACAGAGAGGGTAAAAAGACTCCTTGGTAAGGCTTTTTCTTTTAATAAAAACAGCTCTTGAAACATTTCTTTTCTAACAGAAAATCAGCTTGAAAAGACTCTACTTTCACTTTCATTTCCAAGGCTTCTCATCCTCAGGTTTATTCTCTCAAAGAACTATCAAAAATCCTGGCATTTGTCAGCTGATTAATGAGTCACAAACGCTAGCCACTGGTCTTAAAGATTCAGATGTAAGGCTTGCTGAGGAAGACTTAGTCAATGCCATAGTGCCTTCAGGGTGCTAGGAATGAATGTTGGCTCTGTCCTAACAGGTCTCTTTTCATGGATAAAACTTAGCCATCAAGTTAGGCTGGGAAATGTTCTAAGGCAAATGAGAATTTCTGGCCAGGGCATGCTCTGGTGTTATTCAGAGGTTTCTGGACTGGACTCAGCCTCCAACAGCCCACTCTGGGTGTTGTTAAAGAATCCTCAGCTATCCTGTCACAAAATTTTCCTTATTTTTCTATCCACGGTCTCTTACTCTCTCTGTGCATTGAATGTGTGGGAGTTTTTATAGCCTAGGGAAGTAATCCTATTTGACAAGATCAGGGATTATCATAGTAACCCAGGATATAGCTCAAGGGAAGGCATCTTTGTGATTTTCTAGGAACAGGATTTCTGCCACCCTCACCCCCTCAACAGTCTCTCTCTCTCTCTCTGTCTCTCTCTCTCTCTCTCTCAGTCTAGAGAATACATGGTATTGCCATGTTTCTCTCTGCCCTTGGTCTGGACAGCACATGACATTTCCAGGTCTCTCTCTGCCCTTGGCCTGGAGAGCACATGGCATGTCAAGGTCACTCTGTCTAGAGAACACATGGTGTTTTAAGGTCAACAGGGCCACCTAATGAAAATAGAAATACTCCTCATAGGACACATTGTTGGTTCTCTGTGGTACATTACACATACACAATTTTCCGTTTTTGCGCTTATCTACTGAAAACTAGGTTTTATGCTACTTTTGTGAATGGAAACACTCTGCTTTCAATTATTAGAATTAAAATGTCCTTCACAGCCAAATTTTAGTCCCGATACTGTCCCATCAGCAAGAAAATCAACATTAGGTCCCCGCATCCCTTTAAGGCACCTATTCTGTCTCCCCTTACTAATTAGTAAGGGGATTTTTAAGCCCAGAAGTAAACTGGAACCATTTTTCTAAGTTTAAACACTTTGGCATGGGCCATAATGGGAGGCAATCTAGCATATCCCCTCCATTAAAGGAGTCTTGCCTTTTATATAGTCTTTCCCAAGATCCTTTATTTTTTTTGTTTTTTTTGGGGGGAGAGGGAGGCACACAGGTCACACAAGTCTACAAAGTCAAAGGGAGATAATAGACAGAGGACTAGGGCTACTTGGGTAAGTGTGACTATGCCCAGAAGTCTAATTTCTTGGTTCCATGACTTGGAGGGTCATGCCTACAACGATGGGCAGCACATTTAACAGGGTCCCAAGACCCAGGAACCAGGGTGGAAAAATGGCCGGGGGGACACCATCACTGTTTTCTTCTCCACCCTGGGTCACATGTGGAAGGGAAGGAGACCAAAGGGACGATTTCTCTCACTTCTATTTCTAGATGGGTAACAGATTATCTTCAGCTTGCACCCCTCTGGAGTGCACTCTGAAACACTGGAACTTTCTTAATCTCAGGACTTTGAAGAAAAAAACACTCACTTTCTTTTGCACAAGGGCATGACATTTTTACTAAATCTTTGCTAATGTAAGATCAATCAACCCAGCTTTGTATAGTAATCATTTTGGGCAGGCCCAAACAGAATGGCTCCCCAAAATTAGAGAAGCAACTCTAACAATCTGAGGAACCAGGTAAGGAACACCCTTTTTTTGGAGCCCCTTCAAGTTCCCTTCTCATTACAGGAACTTAGGCAAATAAAAGGAGACTTAGGCTGATTTTCTGATGACCCTGATAGGTATCTAGAAAGTTTCCACAATTTAACTGAGGTCCTTGGTGTTTTTCCTTCTTACACAGTTTAAATGGTTCTTTTATAATGTTCTTCCAATCTGGGAAAGTTTAATTTTCCAAACCTTAAAATGCTTGGCTTAGAGTTGAGCTGGAGGAAGGGAACCCAAAAGCCTGACATGCCAGCAAAAGGGTAAAAACTTCTTAAAAGTCAGGCTTTTGGCTTCTCACTCACTGTGCAAACCAGTAAAAGGGATAATGAGGATCATTGTTTATTGTCTGTAAAGTTTTAATTAATGAAAAAGGATTTCTGAGGTTGGTCTTAAGATGTAGCCAATCTGGTGTGCTTTGTGTGTCTTTCTGTATGGTTTTGTCAAAAGAAAGGGTATCTTAGGTTAGGATGCAAGCCCCGGACCTCATACGCCTGCTGTTCAAATCAGCCCAACAAAATGATAATAATGAACTTGGCCACAGGCTTCCATCTTGTTTCATGTCCTTGGGAACATGACCTGTAACCACGTGGCAATACTTTGTTTTAGCTTCTACCATTTTAAAATGTTGGCTGTCTTATTGTGCTAAGTTAGTTTCTGGATGAGGGCCACAAAATCAGATAAGCCAATTTATCAATCTGGGTGGTGCAAGCTAATCCATCAAGCATAGGGCTTACAAAATATCTTAAGCACTGACCTTGAGAGCAGTTGAGGGAGGATCAGAGTCTTGTAGCCTCCATCAGCGTGGCTCCTGGGCCATGGTTTTTAATCTTGTGGCTAGTTTCTTGATCTGGTCCCTGGGCAAGAAGGAAGTATATCTTAAGAAGGGGCTGTTATCATCTTTGTTTTAGACTATGAACTGTAAACCAGGCTCCTCCCAAAGTTGGTTCAGCCTATGCCCAGGGATAGGCAAGGACATCTTGGGAGCTGGAAACAAAATGGAGTTGCTTAGGTTGGATGTCTTTCACTATCTCCATCACAATTTTGTAGTGATGATTTCAAATGCTGCACATCACCCCTTTGAAAATACCTCGCACACTCATGGTTAAGTCATAACCTAATCAAGGTTTGTTGGTTTCACTTGTGAGGTTACTTTTTGTAAATTTCAAAATCCAAATATCTTAACTACTTGGCCTGGTTAAAGTTGAGTAACAGGGGATTTAAAAGGATTTTCTTAAATAGTGCTCAGCTTAACTAAAAGTGGATATTCTAGTTATAGGTGTATTTAAAAGACCTTCATGTTTTTCTCTCCTTGGATCCTGTTTTTTTGGACAAAGTTTTTTTTCTTCTCAGTTGACTGAATTATTTTCTCCATTTTTTGTCTTTTCACTCTTAATGCACAGACGAGAGGCTTTAAGATAACTTCTGGTAACCTGGGACTCCTTGTAAAAAACAGAGAAGGCACCACAGACCTAGTTTTGAAACAAAACAAAACAAAAGCCCTCTGTTTTCCCCCAGGAAACCCAAGGAATTAAAAGCAGATAGGTCTTTCTCAAAATTAAAGGCTCTGTTCTGTTTTGCATTATCTGACAGTTTTTAGTTTTGAGGGTATCAAATTACTTCACACTAGGAGAGAACTTTGATATGTAATAACTGGTAGAAAATACACTTTAAGGGATGGCTAAGAGTGGTTATAAATCAGAGAAGCATGCTCTTGGTCACCAGAAACATATGGACACATACTCAACCCACACTGAGAGATGAGACTACCATGGGGGATGGGCTGATAACAAAATAAGCAGATTGGCTTCGGGTTGCCTTGTAATGAAATGCATGGCAGAAGCACTACACTGTATTCTCCCATACTTTCTCCCTCCTTTTGGGGATCCAAAATCCAATATAAATTTTCACCCTTACTTTTAGGGATCTGTCTTTGCCTTCAGCTGTCTATGCTTATTAGGCCCTAAAATGCATGCTCCCTGGCCCTATTTCTCCAAAGGCTCCACCCTGAAGCCAGTACCAATTAAGAAAGTAGTAAATGAAAAATCTTACAAGTGCTGAATCTTCTGTCTGTTTGTGTTTGTGTTGGTATATATGTGTTATCTGTAATGTCTATAAAAGAGCTCAAATTAATTGCCTTAAAAATAAGCATTTAAATCAAACATTTTTTAGTTCATGTGACTTTAATCTTTAAGCTGGTGCATAATTAAAATCACTTACTAACCAGGTTTCTCACCAAAAGCAAAAGTTGCTAAGAGTTAACAGTGCAACATGTATTTGAGATCATTAAACAGTTTTACATGCAAGACATATAAAAACAGTAACATGTGCTTCTTAGTAAAAGATTATAAGAAAGCATGGAAATGTAAATTTTGCCCAGTTATAAGGGACTATCTTAAATTTAATAAGGTACAGCTTAAAGTTTAAGTAAATTGTGAAAAGATTGTAAAAATTAATCTTGCAAAAAATGTGTAACCATTAACTAAATTCAAAAGGGTATTACATAGTCTTTTCATAAACTGAACATAAATAAAAGCACAACAAGGCTGTCTTAATACACTAATCTGTCCTTTAGCAAAAGGGGTTACTAAGGGCTTGTAAAGATTTCACCTCATGGTCAAATTGGTTAAGATTAGATGGAATTGTCTATGAGATTTTATTTAAGAATGAGGGTTAATATTAATAAACTAATACAAGTATAAAATTTGGCTTTGAACAGGATTTTCATGCAATAGTAAAGGGTAATAAAAGGATTTTTTGCTTTTTGAATCATAATTTCTACAAAGTAAATAATTTATGATAATATGCAATTCTATTTCATAACACCAAGTGTTTTAAACCTCTAACATTTAATGGGCTTCCCAAAATCAAACTTCAAGTTTCAAAATTGTCTTTCCTAATGTCTATCTTTCTGGATTGTTCAGAGGGCCCCTGAAATATCCAGAGAAGTGGTAAACAGGATTATTTGACATGTTTAGTCACATGAGATTGCCAAAATGATGTCCAATCTTCTTTAGGTTATATATTGGTGAATAATACAAATATATGTTTCAAAATTGTATGGGATTACTAATATTCTAATGTCTAAGTAAATGCTATCAATCATAATTAAGGTTAAAGTTATTGTAAACCATGGAGATAACTAAACTTCTTTGTCAGTCATATTTTAATTATAACTACCATGGAAATTTTGTGATTCACAGACAATTGTCTTGCTTTGTTCCTTCTCAAAAGATGGTTTATAATCAAGCTATAGAACTTTAACAGGTGTTCTCAAATGCAGGTTTTTAATAGCTTTGAAGATTGTAACATTGGTATAGAGAAAGAATGTACAAGACTCACGAAGAACTGAAATGTTCATGAATGTCAAGCAAAACAAGAGGTAACTAAATGGACTGCATTCAGAAAGTTAATGCAACCTTTTTTACTTTTAGTTGGAATACTGCTGATCCTTATTTTATTTTTCAGTTAAGGAAACTCATTTTGAACTATTTATAGTCTTTAATAATTGAGTAAGGTGTACTACTGTTAACAAAATCTGGAGCATGTTTGTTCCTTTCTTCCCGGTTCTTGGAGAATTTGGAAACTATCTGTGAGTACTCTTAACTTATTGCAATATAATAGTTTGCATCAGTGCAATAAGAATCTATTTTTTCTCAACAGGACACAATTGGAAAAACTGTTTATTTTACCAAGGCTTTGAATGGAAGGGTGGGTCTCCACTTACGGAATCAAGCTTGATGTGCAGAGCCAATAAAAGTCTCTTGGAGAGAACTGACCTCATATCTTGTCTACACAGTCCCTGCACAGGGTTCTTAGTCCCTGTTCAGTAAAGAATATCACCTTCTAACAAGTCCAGGAGCTCCAAGTTTATCTTGGGATCTTAAGAGAAAAGGATCACCCACCTCACAGATACTTGAAGATAAAAACCCATGGCTGGGCTCGGCTTTAAAAGGTCTTAAATGAGATTCCTTGTGAAATAGAGTTTTATCAAAGCCAATCCAAAAGGCCTATGTAGAAATAACCATTCTTGCTGCACCTTATGCAAATAATCAGGCCAAGTACAAGGCTAAAATTTATTCTAGGAACAACATGGTCCTATCATAATTTGATTTTACCAAAAATGAGGACTAGACAAATTATGCTCCAAAGCTTATCATATATTTGTCAATAAATTCTAGTCTCTAATTGTTTTTGAGCTTTTTGCCTACATTTTAGACTAACCCTGCTTCTACCTGTGAATCAAGTGGTGATATCCTGCAGCTTGGAAAAAACACAAAAGGATGGGTCATGTAAAAATCTGGATCAATATGCTAGTTCTGGGCAATTATGCTGTAATTCTGCCAGGTAATGAAAGTGAGTAGGATGACCATAACCCAGAGGTTTCTTTGTTGAGGGAAATAAAACCAAGAAATTTCATAGATGCCCCAAAAGGAAATTCTATATCTTAGCAAGTAAAATTTTAGATGGAAATTATCTACTACACCACACTTGCAGGAATTATTATACTCACTCTACTATTTGTAGTAGAGCTATACATGGTAGCACCTTCTAACGGAAATATTGGATAGAGAGTTTCCATTGCTGTAATATTTTGTGTAATTATTATCCTTATATCAGGGATAATAGCTACCAACAAAAAGGAAGCACAAAAGTTTTATTATCATTGAATTTGCTAAAACTTCTTTATTCTATTTTTTTCTATTCTATTCTACTCTATTCTATTCTATTCTATTCTATATTGGGTTTGGTAATATGTCAAACCTTGGCTATGCAAAGAAGGTTATAAAGGAAAGAGAATTTCTGTGGAATCATAAAGCGATTGATAATTGCAGGAAAAAATCTAGCCAAGGCTAATACTGAAGTTACTCTAGCCTCCAAAATCCAATGCCACTTTTCCTAAAAGGAATGTTGCTTTTATATAAATGTTTCCGGTAATGTACAGCAACATCTAGTGGAGGCAAACTGGTATTGCAATCCATTGGTATAACTAGCAGCTATCAAACTCTACTGTCAGTTATGGTCTATAGGACCCTCACTAACAGTGGTAATCTTAACGCTCATATTCTAACCCTATATTTTACCTTCTTGTAAAATGTATCTCTTTTCACCTAGAAGCAATCAAGCTCCAAACAGTGCTGTGAGCAGAGCCACACATGGACACATCATTCTTCCAAGGACCCTTAGATTGACCCAGGAGAAACCCTACTTTCACCTTCTGTCTCCTGCCTTACCTACTCTAATGAATGTTCTACTAGTATAATCCTATCCATATTCAAAGAGTCATTTATTTTCAACCATTCCTTGGATCCCCCTAACACACACACACACACAAACATATATATATATATATATTTATATATATGAATATATATATATATAGATATATGGCTTAATTTTGAGAGCAAGGAATATTAACATTATGTACCAATATAACTGATTCCTGGTATATATTTTGTATATATACAAAAAATTCTTAGTTGAAAGAATTGTCTGTGTTTCTATTGGGTATATTTACTTTTGTGTGTAGGATACTTCATTATGAGCCTCCAAATGCTCTACACATGCACAATGGAAGGCCAATGTGAACTAGGATATTTAAATACTTTGTTGTCTATACATAATAGGTCTAAAACTGATCACTGGAGTAATTATTGGAAGAGCCCCCTCTTACTAGATCAAAGTGTCAACCTGAGTTATCAGCTGGTGAAATATGGGATTCCAAACTTTGGTTTGGGCCTTTGTGCTGAAGTAAAGCGTAGTTACTAATGTAGAATTGATTCAAATATATCTGTTTCCCTAGGAATTCTTGCAGACCCCACTGCAAAAGCTATAAGTGCTCAACAACATTCATTAACTTTTCATGGTAAGCTAGTCCTAGATATCTGAATTGCTCCTGAATATCTATTAGCAAGATGTTACCTGTGCTATGGGTAAAACTACATGCTGTACCTTTATACATTTATCTGGAGAAATCAAGACCCGAATACACAAAATGCAAAGACAGACTTTATGTTTACAGCAGGTCTTACCTACTTCTCCATGGTCATATAATTTATTCAGTTGGTTGACTTTAAGCCTAGGTTTATGTCTCAAAACTTCTGTGGCAATTGGGGCTGCAATATTACTATCAATTTTACTCTGTATATTCTTTTAAAAATTTGTACCCTTTACCTTTCAAAATTCTGCAGAAATACAACTCCTAACAGAATAATGTTGGCCTAGTGCTTTGAGATGACAGCCTGAGAATGGACCAAATTAATAAACTTTGGGCAGTCTTAGCCCGAGGCTACTCCTTCTAACCCTCTTTTGTTGCTGAAATGTAGCTAAAATGGTTTTCACACTGACTACTTGTCACCAATCTCTTTCTTCCAATGTGGGATGAGACAAAGGACAATCAAAACCTAAGCGCATAATGATTAATCAGTGATACTTATCAGAAGGCTTTGGATCAAAAGTTGTCAGGTCCAAAATGGAGTCACTTTTGTCAAACCCTCACAAAATAGAGCCAAGGAAGGCTTGGAAGGGAGCGGTCTCATGCATATTTGCCTGATAAACACTATCACAAGAGATATTGGCAGAACCACTGCAATCTTGCACACAGAAAAAAGTATTTCTGTGAGGACATCTGTCCAGCAACTGCCTATTTAGCCATGGGATGATCTCACTCTTATTATTTATTGATCCTTGTAGCCAAGGATTAATATTTTTAAACTATTTATGTAATCCTCTTCATTTTACCTTTACAAACCCCATGTTTTTTCTGCATCCCTGAATGTACCCATGGTTGCCATGGCATGCATATTTGCATTGCAATGCCCTGCTATTTTTGATTAAACTGAATGTTTTTAGAGAGCCTTTCTCTGTTTGTTATTTATGTTGACATTCAAAAGTAATACATAATAAAAAGCCAGGTTAATTGTGATTCTATCAAATGCACCCCATGAAATAAATATTTTCAAATTTGCATTATCTTATTTTAATTTATACCTCTGGGGGGATGAACTTGTTCTTCACTTTATCCAGCTTCCTACACATGTAGGGCTTACAAGCAGGTTGTTTACAAGTGGAAAATAAATTACCTTTTAGAAGCATGGAAATATATCTAAAACTAAAGCTGGATGAAGGAAGGAAGAGGTTCGTTAATTTAATGACAGTCAGAAGTACTGCAGATTTTAAGAACAGAAGTGACCACAAGTATTATAAATGTCAGAATAGCAATTGGCACTATTGGTCTAATTTTTCTTTCCTATTTGGTAAAACAACAAAACTTCATTTTTCATTAGAGTTGCTAAACATATAAAAGCATATCCGAACAATAAAGTACCACAGTTCTTTTCCAAACTTAAAAGTAGCATTTGTTCCAAGTAGGCTAAAATGTTGAAATTTCTTTGAAAGTTAAGTTCTCAAGAAATCAAAATTTTATTTTGTAGGGGTTTCTGTCATTTAATACTCCCTAAGTTCATGTGTACATTTAGTCTTATATCATTCTTTACTTTTATCACATTGTTGATGTCACTTGAATTTCCTTATTTTAATGGCACTTTATTTATTTATTTTAAGTGAGCTATTAGCATGTACTCTATAATAAAAAGTGTCATGTTTTAACACTAAAAAAATACTTGCAGGTGCCTTTCATGTCAAGATAAGTTTAAGCTGTGTAGTAGCAATGTAATAATAATTAGGCCTGAGATCATCATGGCAAATAAGAGGCAGGGCTAGATTGCAGCTTCAGACAGAGCAGCGAGCTGATGCTCATACTGTGAATTTTAAATCCGGATCAACTGCAAGAATAAACTGGCAATCCTGAGAGGACCCACAGACCCTCTGAAGGAAGTGGGCGGCTTCTGCAGGACCCTGGAGACACCCCAAATACTGTGAGTGCCCCAACTGCGGAAGTAGAGAGAATCCTCCTTTCCCAAGCACACACCCCCACTGGAGAACCTAAAGGCCTGTTTGCGGGAGAAATTTATGACTTTATCTGGAGCTGAGTCAATTTAGAGAGCCAAGCAAAATACAGAGGTAAAGAAAACAGCAAAAAGGCCCTGGGAGCTCACTGGGTCCCCTCACAGCCCATTCCTATCTGGCACAACAGGGTTCCATCGGAAGGGCAGCCAGAGGAGCAACGGGTAAAACTCCACAGGGAGGAGAAAATCTCTAGCTGAACTTCGTAACAATTTGAATGGGCAAGAAGCCTCCTGGCCAGAACTCAGTGGAGGGCGCAAATCTGGGGTGCAGACTCCACAGGAAGGGGAAGAACCAAGCCCTTTTCTTTCGCAGCTGGGAGGCGGATAGCCTGGAGCAAGTCAAGCCCATCTTGCCCTTTCCCTGGAAACACACTGGGGGCTGTTGATTGGGGCACAGTGGGAGTGCAACTGGCCCTTCAGTTTGCATGGAAGGTGGGTGAGGTCTGTGACTGCTTGCCTTCCCTCACTTCCCTGACAACCAGCATGACTCAGTAGAAGTAGCCATATGCACCTAGGTACACAACCCCAGTGACCTGGGAATCTCACCTTCTTCCCTCACAGCAGCCACAGCAAGACCCACCCAAGGAAATTCTGAGCACAGACACACCTAGCCCTGCCCCCACCTGATGATTCTTTGCTACCCACCCTGGTAGCAAAAGACAAAGGGCATATAACCTCGGGAGTTCTAGGGCCCTGTCCGCCACCAGTCCCTCTCCATACTACTACAGCTGATGATCCCTGGAAAGCACAAAGTCCTGGCAGGAGGCGAACCAGCACAAAAACAGAGCATTAAACCACCAAAGCTAAGAATCCTCATGGAGTCCATTGCACCCCCCTGACACCTCCACCTGAATAGACCCTGGTATCCACAGCTGAGAGGGCCATAAACAGTTCACATCACAGGACTCTATGCAGACAACCCCTGGTACCAGCCTGGAGCTAGGTAGACTCACTGGGTGACTACACCCAGAAGAGAGACAACAATCACTGCAGTCTAGGCACACAGGAAGCTACATCCATAGGAAAAGGGGGAGAGTACTTCATCAAGGGCACACCCCATGGGACAAAATAATCTGAACAACAACCTTCAGCCCTACACCTTTCCTCTGACAGAGCCTACCCAAATCAGAAGCAACCAGAAAACTAACCCTGGTAATATAACAAAACAAGGCTCTTCAACAGCCCCCCAAAATCAAACTAGCTCAAAAGCAATGGATTCAAACCCAGAAGAAATCACTGATTTACCTGAAAAAGAATTCAGGAGGTTAGTTAATAAACTAGTCAGGGAGGCACCAAAGAAAGGCGAAGAACAATGGAAGGAAATCCAAATAACGATACAAGAAGTGAAGGGAGAAATATTCAAGGAGATAGGTAGCTTAAAGAAAAAACAATCAGAAATTCAATAAATTTTGGACACACTTTTAGAAATGCAAAATGCTCGGGAAAGTCTCAGCAATAGAATTGAACAAGTGGAAGAAAGAAATTCAGAGCTTGAATACAAGGTTTGCGAATTAATCCAATCCAACAAAGACAAAGAAAAAATAATAAAAAAATATGATCACAGCCTGCAAGAAGTCTGGGATTACGTTAAATGGCCTAACCTAAGAATAATCAGTGTTCCTGAGGAGGAAGGGCATTCTAAAAGCTTGGAAAACATATTTTGGGGGATAATCAAGGAAAATTTCCCTGGGCTTGCTAGAAACCTAGACATCCGTATACAGGAAGCACAAAAAAGCATGTGGGAAATTCATGACAAGAAGATCACTGTCTAGGCACATTGTCATCAGGCTGTCCAAAGTTAGGATGAAGAAAAGAGTCTTAAGAGCTGGGAGACTGAAGCAACAGGTAACCTATAAAAAACCCAAATACAGCAGCAGAAGAGAAATAACCAAGATCAGAGTGGAACTAAATGAAAATGAAACAAAAGAAACAATACAAAAGAGAAATAAAATGAAAAGCAAGTTCTTCAAAAAGAAAAATAAAATTGATAGAACATTAGCAAGATTAATCAAGAAAAGAAGAGAGAAGATCCAAATAACCACTAAGAAACAAAACAGGAGATGTTGCTACTGACCCCACTGAAATACAAAAGATCACTCAAGGCTACTATGAACATCTTTATGCACATAAACTAGAAAACCTAGAAGAGGTGTCTAAATTCCTGGAAAAGTCCAACCCTCCTAGCCTAAATCAGGAAAAAATAGATACTCTGAACAGACCATTAACAAGCAGTTAGATTGAAATGGTAGTTAAAAAATTACCAATAAAACAAATGTCCAGGACCACATGGATTCACAGCAGAATTCTACCAGACATTCAAAGAATTGGTACCAATGCTTTTGACACTATGCCACAAGACAGAGAAAGAAGGAACCCTCCCTAATTCATTCTATGAAGCCAGCATAGGCTTAATACCAAAACCAAGAAAGGATATACCAAAAGAGAAAACTACAGACTGATATCCTTGATGAACATAGATGCTAAAATCCTTAACAAAATACTAGCTAACTGTATCCAAAAACATATCAAAAAGATACTCCACCATGATTAAGTGGGTTTCATACTAGGGATGCAGGGATGCTTTAACATACGCAAGTCAATAATGTGATAGACCACATAAACAGAATTAAAAACAAAAATCACATAAGCATCTCAATAGATGCAGAAAAAACATTCAACAAAATCCAGCATCTTTTTATGATTAAAACTCTCACCAAAATCAGCATACAAAGGACATATCTCAATGTAATAAAAGCCATCGATGACAAACCCACAGCCAACATAATACTGAATGGGGAAAAGTTGAAAGCACCCTCTCTAAGAACTGGAACAAGACAAGGATGCCCACTCTCACCACTTCTCTTCAACTTAGTACTGGAAGTCTTGGCCAGAGCAATCATACAAGAGAAAGAAATAAAAGGCATCCAAATTGGTAAAGAGGAAGTCAAACTGTCCCTGTTTGCTGGTGATATGATCATTTACCTTGAAAACCCTGAAGACTCTTCCAGAAACTCCTAGAACTGATAAAAGAATTCAGCAAAGTTTCCGGATATAAGATTAATGTACCCAAATAAGTAGCTCTTCTATACACCAACAGTGACCAAGCTGAGAATCAAATCAATAACTCAACCCCTTTTACAACAGCTGAAAAAAACAAAAACAAACAAAACACACACACACATACAAATAAAAACAATAAAGAAAACCTTAGAAATATACCTAACCAAGGAGTCAAAGACCTGTACAAGGAAAATTACAAAACTGCTGAAAGAAATAAAAGATGACACAAACAAATGGAAACACATCCCATGCTCATGGATGAGTAGAATCAATATTGTAAAAATGACAATACTACCAAAAGCAATCTATAAGTTCAATGCATTCCCCATCAAAATACCACCATCATTCTTCATAGAATTAGAAAAATAGATTATAAAATTCATATGGAACCAAAAAAGAGCCCACATATCCAAAACAAAACTAAGTAAAAAGAAAAATTATAGTGGTATCACACGACCCAATTTCAAATCATACTTTAAGGCCATAGTCACCAGAACAGTGTGGTACTGGTATAAATATAGGCATATAAGACCAATGGAACAGAATAGAGAACCCAGAAATAAACCCAAAAACTTGCAGCCAACTGATCTTTGAAAAAGCAAACAAAAACATAAATTGGGGAAAGGATATCCTTTTCAACAAATGGTGCTGGGATAATTGGCTAGCCGCATGAAGGAGAGTGAAACAGGATCCTCATCTTTCACCTTATATAAAAATCAACCCAAGATGGATGAAGTACTTAAAACTGACACCTGAAACTGTAAAAAATCTAGAAGATAACATTGGAAAAACTCTTCTAGACATTGGCTTAGGCAAGGCTTTCATGACTAAGAACCCAAAAGCAAATGCAATAAAAACAAAGATAAATAGCTGGGACCTAATTAAACTAAAGAGCTTTTGCATGGCAAAAGGAACAGTCAGTAGAGTAAACAGACAAACCAGAGTGGGAGAAAATCTTCACAATCTATACATCTGAAAAAGGACTAATGTCCAGAATCTACAACAAACTCAAATAAATTAGTAAGAAAACAAAACAAAACAAAACAACAGCAACAACAAAAATCCCATCAAAAAGTGGGCTAAGGACAGGAATAGACAATTCTCAAAAGAATATATACAAATGGCCATCAAACATATGAAAAAATGCTCAACATCACTAATGATCAGGGAAATAGAAATCAAAACCATAATGTGATACCACCTTCCTCCTGCAAGAATAGCCGTAATCAAAAAAATCAGAAAACAGTAGAGGTTGGCTTGAATTTGGTGATCAGGGAACACCTCTACACTGCTGGTGGGAATGTAAACTGGTACAGCCACTATGGAAAACAGTGTGGAGATTCCTTAAAGAACTAAAAGTAGAACTACCATTTGATCCAGCAATCCCACTAATGGATATCTACTTATTGGAAAAGGAGTCTTTATATGAAAAATATGCCCATGTGTGTTTATAGCAGCACAACTTACAATTGCAAGATCATGAAACCAACCCAAATGCCCATCAATGAATGAATGGATAAAGAAACTGTGATATATGTGTGTGTGTGTGTGTGTGTGTGTGTGTATATATATATATATGATTGGAGACTATTATTCCAAGTGAAATAACTCAGGAATGGAAAACAAAACATCATATGTCCTCACTAATATGTGGGAGCCAAGCTGTGAAGACACAAAGGCATAAGAATGATACAATGGACTTTTGGGACTTGGGGGAAAGAGTTGGAGGGGGGCAAGGGATAAAAGACTACAAATATGGTGTTGTGTATACTGCTTGGGTGATGGGTGCACAAAAATCTCACAAATCACCACTGAAGAATTTACTCATGTAAGCAAATACCACCTGTATCCCAATAACTTATGGGAAAAAAAAGTTAGGATATTTAACTAAATAATTCAAGATATAACTATATTCATTAAACCAATATTAATATTTCATTTATTAAAAATTACAAAAACAACGATCATTCTGTTTTGGTTTGAGTTATAGTTTTGTAGCCTCTATGCCAAATTTTGAAACCTTATAGTATTTGGCAGAGATATGTATGAAACTGCTTTATCAATAAATGCAAACAAAAATGTATGCTGGCAACTCTTAAGACATTTCTAATATCACGTTAGCAATAATTTTTAAAGCTAGCTATTTATTAAAGGTTTTACTTAAGTCACATAAACTTGAATAAAATAAAAAGTAACATAAAAAATAAAAGTCCCTACTAAGTAAAATTTGGTTTAGGTTTGAAGACTTAATTAGAATAGTGGTAAATGCCTAACTGGCATTCCAAAGGATGGGGTAAATGGGTGGGTGGGAGTTGAGTAAGCCCTATTTTCTAGCTTTTGCTGATTTCCATGATGTAAAATATTTTCTACCATGATCAATTTCTACCTGTTAATATGATATCAACATGTTTATAAAATTTGTGAAAAATTAACAATTGACTCTTGCAAACTGATATGAGTTGGATCCAGCACACATAGTAACTGGATCCTACTGCTTTGAATTAAATAGCTCCATATATACTAAGGAACTGCTTTATCTAATGGATATAATTTTGTACATAAATTTTATGTGCCCAAATGTAATAAATACATTGTGTTTTTTAAAAACCTTGTAACTGGGTTCAAAACACTGTTATGCCTCATTTCATAAAACTGCTTCTGAAAGGCTGCAAGTGCGTTGAAAATTTCCTAAATTCATTACAGGTGAAATCTCACACAAATTTTATTGTCTATTTAAAAAAGTACATATTTTTAAAAAAGAGAGAGACTTAGAAAAAAATTATAAGGCCCAAAGTCATTAATGAGTATTGATAACCCCCCAAAATAAACAATAAATATTATGGATGTAGATGTGTGCAGCTGGAAAAAAACACTGAATATAAAATAGATCAAATGTGATAATAAAATAAAAATTGATATATCTTGTTCAAAATGTAGTCAATGAGCAAATTCATAAGAAATATAAAGCAAATAAAGATAAAAATTGTGTTAAAAGAAAAGTTAGGTGGGGTTATGTTTTAACAAATATATATAGATTAAGCCTCAGAATCATAAATTGTCTCTATAAAGGATAAATCATCCCTGGCTTGTGACATAGTCACCAATGAAAAATATTCTCTCTCCCAATTTCTGTTCTGATAAAACAAAAGGGTTATTGTCTGAAAGGTACAGAAGGCTTTAAGTCATGCTTAGAGGTTGACTAGAGAAGATCACTTTTGTAGAGCCTGTTATATATTTTTTCTAGTTGTATCCTTAGGCTTCAAAAGCCAAAGGTGGGTAAGGAAGGGAGGATAATAGATTTACAAAAACAGTATTTTCTCTCAGGTGAGTTCTTGCGTAAACTGAAGACAAGCAATCTGACGATTCCAATTCTCTCCCAACATTTTCTAAATGTTATAGGGCATAGAGCTCCCTGAATCATTCAGCTTCAGGAACTGGTCCCATAACTTGCAATGGCCCTATTTTCTCTGGTTTTGGCATGTCTGTTTCCTGACTTTTGTCTCTATACTACTTAGTGTGATTCATTGTGACTCAGGTATTTCTATTGATTAATTTTTCTTCAATAGCCACTTCACCACTTAGTGGATAATTCAGAAAATTACATTGAACAAAAAATAGTGCCATCCTCTGTCCTCAGTCTCTTGCAGAGATTCTAATGGCTCTGTTTTATTCTTTTTCATTCAATGTATAACTGTTTTTCTTGTAAGTAGTAGATAAAAAGGAGGGTTGGGGGAGGCACATCTAAGGAAACTGAACGATGTGCTTCTGTACAGTCCTCTAGTCTCAAATTTCTTTTAACAGGCAAATCTTTGCTTTAGTCCTAAGCTTGCAGCCATTACATTTTTCTTTTATGGTAAACTTCTGCTCATAACCACTTCAACTTATTATTTATTTATTCAGTAATTTTCTATTGAGGACCTACTAACTTAGGCACCGTCTTGACACAGCATACCGGAACCCATCTATCTTGCTTATATCCATAGGAAATGAGACTGGAGTATGCTATAAGAGATATAATGCGGCTACAAGATTAATGATAGCCATAAAACCCACTAAAACATCTCACAGGGCCTACACTATGTGCCACTTGGCAGTGCGATGCAACCTGGCCTAAGGATTTCCTACCCTGGCTTACAGATTTCCAGGAGACAAGACCACCTCCACAGAGATATAACTTTCACGAGCCTTGAAACAGAGCTTATCCTTACAAAAATGGCTTAAAATCCCTTATTAAAGATACACCTGATAACTGAACCAGACTAAATACAGGGATAGGAAAGGGAGAAGAATCCCCAACTCTAAAAATTGCCTCTGAACGCAGACCTTCTCAGCCGGGTGACCACTGACGGAATGTAACTAATGACAATGGCCTGCTGCCATTTATCTGTCTTGTAAGAGCACTGCAAGGATAAACAGTCTGAACAACGGACTCTGCCTAAGACTCATCTTTCATGCAAATGAGACCAAATTAGAAAAGTTGTTCCCAGGGAACCTGGCTAAATGAGACCATCTGAGAGCCCCAAATATGACATATATCCTGGAATTTACATTCACCAACACAATGTTCAATTTTTGATGTGCACATATCTTATATGGGTGGACTTGAAAATAAAGTCTGCATATGCTAAGATATAGACATGATGGTCCATTGTGTAAGGAAACCAAGTATTAGACAACTTTTTTTATTGTTTTTATTTAAATAACAATAAAAGTTAAAATTTATCTCTATATAGAAATCAATACTAGCATTTTTACTCAGCCATAGGGCACATAGTTCTTGAGATTTTTTGAGATAAATGTGGTCCTATAATTCTGAGGAGACAACTGTGCCACCTGTTTTTTAGTGATTTTTTTTAGCATCCATGGTAATCAGAAGTTTAAGATTGCCCACAGGATTGCTGCCTACCTGGTATATATGCCTAGGATAATTCCCCCCCTTGAATGTGGGCGAGACCTCTGCATAAAATGGGATATCATTCTTATGATTGGACTTCTAGCAAATTGATGCTAAATTAATAGAAAGAGAGCTAGGTAGGTCTGGCCCAATTAGCTGTGCACTTTAAAAGGGGTTAAGCCTTTCCTGAAAAGAAGAGATTCAAAGTCTGAGAGGTCATATGGAAGGATCAAAAGGCAAGAAACTGTGGTTGCCCTTTATGAGTTGAGAGTCCCCAACTGACAGTCAGCAAGAGAATAGTACACTCAGTCTTACGACAAGGAACAAATATTTTGCAATGGTTTGAAATTTAATTGTTCCTACTTAAAAGATTAATGGATTAAACAATCTTGTTTTAACTGAAATGTTCTTCACAAAATAACCGAATGATTTAAAACTACTCCTGCAAAGAAACTGTGAATTAAAGATGGATTTGTTCATACAACTCTTAGCAAAGAAGATAAAAACACTGAAAATTATTGGTCTTTTTTTGCCACATGTAAATTTAAAATAACTATAATATAATCATATATTATAAAAACTAATAAAATTATGCAACATTCTCCAATACACTGTTGAAACAGATGTAAACCCACTGTATTAATGAAGGAATTACCTTTGTTAATAATAAAATCTTCCAAAGTTTATGTTGTGCCTTAAGATGTTAGCTAATCGCTTTATGAAAACCTTTAAAAGATGAGTACTCAGAAAATCGTAATCCTATTATGAAGGGAGTTTTCACAATTAAATTGGCACAAATGGCTGAACCATGATCAAAGGAATGATAATAAAACTGAAGTGATTTCAGCCCAACTGGGTATGAGCAGATATGGCTTCTCTAAAGTCTCACTCTTTCTAATTATCTATTGCTGCACAACAAATCACCTCCAAATGTAAACATGCAAAACAGCGATTTTATTATACTCACAGAGTCTGTAGATTAGAAATGTGAACAGGGAATTGAGGGGTGTCTTGTCTCTGCTTCAAAATATCTGTGTCTTCAGCTGGCAAGACTTAAAGACTGGAGATGACTCTATAGCTGAGATCTTATCATCTGGAGGCTCCTTCATTTATTTCCTTATCTGGCTATTACTGGCAATAATATCAGAACTCAGCAGAAACTCTGTAATAGAAGACTAGCACATGATTGCTCCTAGTGGCCCAGGCTTCTTCACAGCACACATGTTGGAGCATCCTAAAAGAAACATACCTAATCTCTAAAGTCACACTGTGTCACCTCTTTCATCCTCATAAGCATGCCCAAATTCAAGGGAAAATTGTATTAGTCATTTTTGTGTTTTTAGAAGGGAATATTTAGACTGAGTAATTTATAAAGAATAGAGATATATTTGTCTCACAGTTCTGCAAGCTGTAGAAAAAACATGGCAGCAGGATTTCTATCTGCTGAGAGCTTCAGGGAGTTTCTCCTCATGGTAGAAGGCAAAGGGGAGTAGGCATCACATGGCAAGAAGAAGAAAATAAAAGAGGGAAGGAGATAGCAGGCTTCTTTTTAACAATAAAATATCACAGGAACTTATAAAATGAGAACTCACTCATTACCAGAAGAATGGTACCAAGCCATTGTTGCATCCAGGATCTAAACACCTCCCACAAGGGCCATCTCCAACACTGGGGACCAAATTTCGACATGAGATTTGCATGGGACAAACATCCAACTATATCAATACCCACTAAACAATAACTTGAATGTATTTGAAGCACAGAGATAAAGGCATTTGTTGAAATGATCAGATATGGTGATTGACGAAAAGAAGCAAAAGGACACAAACATTTTAGTTTAAGTACTTGGAGAAATTGCTTTGCTATAAACTGAAATGTGCAAGACCAAAGAAGATGCTGGTTTGGAATGTACAGAGAGAGCAGAAGCTCCATTTGAATCTTCAAATTCGGGATTTATATTACATATTGAAGAATACATATATATATATGCACACACACATTCATATATATGTGTATATATACACACATTCATATGTATATGTGTATATATGTATATATGAATGTGTCTGTGTGTATATATATATATTTTGTGTTTCAGGCAGATAGCTAGATCTTGATTTCAGGTAAGAGATCTGGGTTGGAGTTATACATTGAACAGTCATGACCATAAATGTCATTTAAAGACATGCTATTAGATGAGCTTACCAAAAGAGAGTGTATAAACAAAAGAAAGAAGAGGTAAAAGAACACAACACTGGGGTATTCCAATATTTAGAAGTTTGAAAGATAAAAAGTTTCAATGAAAGAGAGTGAGAAAGCATAGAATATGTGGTATCCCAGAAACAAAATGAAGAAAATGTTTCAAGGAGGAGAGGTTAATCAATTGTGTCCTATGTTGTGGCTAGATTAAGTAAAAATGACAAGGGGTTTAACCATTTCAAAGTCATTGGTGACTTTAAGAAGAGAAATCCCAGTGGTTTGGTAGGATCAAAAATCTAACAGGTGTTGGCTTAAGAAAGGTTAAATAAATAAATAAACAGCAAAATTGGAAATTGTAAATGAATACAATACGTTTTAAAGTTTTCCATAAAAGGAAAAATAAATGGGGGGTGGGTACTTGAATGGGAAAGTGAGTTAAAGACTCAGATGGCATCAAGTAATGTATAAGTTCACAACTTAATAAATTTTATAAAATAAAACCTTGAAGCATGATCTACTAATCACTACATTTTGAAATAAAAGAAGGGTAGTAATAATCAACAGCATTTGTATTGCACAGTAGCAGTTGATGATCTGATAGTCTTGTGGCAAAGTTTTTAAAAGAGTTATTGTATATATGATGAATTATGCATTTCAAAATTTGCTGACCTTTTCTCTGACAACAATAACTGTCAGTAATTTGCTACACAGCTGTATTTTAAGAAAATAAACACAATCGGCCCCTGCAGGGTAAAGGTGACATTTTAACACTAAATGAGAAAGTAACTTCTTTTTGAAATTGCTCCCAATGAATAATTTTCCTCCAAGGGTGAGTATAGACCATTCCCCAATTCCCAGGATACACACAGATAGCAGTTGTTAACAGTTAACAGGACTTTACTACAGACATGTAGAAAACAAACAGTTATAACCGCTACATGTAATCTATACCACATCCAAGATCTCAGTCTTTTGCATCCTGGCTCTCAAGAAACCAAAAGGCAGACAGCTCATCTCACCTGACGTACTGCCCATTGAAAATGCTACAGGTCTTTCATGCCTTATGGGACAAACTTACCACAGACCCAAAGAGGGAAAATGTTTCTCCCTCAACTGAGCTTCAGGAGATCTTCCCTAGTTCTGACCAAAGAAAAACAAAAACACTATTTAATTCATTCCCGGAATAAAAGAAGGGAAATGTCCATTGCCTTTATTATAAGGCTATATTCTGATTCTATTACAGAACTATGAAAATCACAAAAATGTTTGGCACTTGTACATTTTTTCAAAGTTCCAAGTTCATTCAATTTATTTCTCTATACAACAATTTGAATCACTAACTTGGTGAATGACTATGGCCTGCCATAGAGCCAATAAAGTATTAATAAAACAAGATTTTACTGGCAATAAATTTCAATTTCCTTGCAAATCTGATGACATCTAGAACTTCATTTTCTAAGTAAGTGTGTAAGTAGAGCATTAAGTTATAAAATGAGGTTCTGTAATCTTTACAATATAACACATTAGTTAGAAGAAGAATCTTGAAGTCAGTCATATTTGGAATAAAATCCTGATCCCTTTATATGTAGCCTTTACCTCTCTACTCATCAGCTTCCTCACCTTTAATATTGTCATAACGCTACCTATTTCATAAGCTGTTGATAAAGATACATTAGAAATATTATCTGGGCACTTATAATAGGATGCACCACATAGTAAATGATCAATAAATATTATCTACTGTTGCTAATGCTGTTATCAACATTGTTGACTGTCCTCTAAGCAAGTCAGGCCTCTTACTGTTTTCTCCTAAAGAGTTTCTGCTAATGGCAGAGGAGAGTAATTTTTTTCTGTGTCAGTGTGAAGCCTAACACAAACCTGCTCTTAGTTTCATTCACTCGCAGCCATGCCACTGGTGAGGTCTCATTTTACAGCTTTTTAAAATTTATCCTAATTATATCTCCTGTATTATAATATATCTTTGTTGATATATCAATACATGTCTTCCAACTCGCTCATCAGTTACACTATTTTGTTTCCTCCAAATGTTTAAGTAAACGTAATATTTCAGGAGGACAAACTGTATTCCCCCATTTTCAAATTACTATAAAGAACTGCCCAAGACTGGGTAATTTATAAAGGAAAGAGGTTTAATTGAGTCACAGTCCAGCATGTCTGGTGAGGCCTCAGAAAACTTAAAATCATGATGGAAGGCAAAAGGGAAACAAGGCACCTTCTCTACAAGGCAGCAGGAAGGAGAATGAACACAGGAAGCACTACAAAACACTTACAAAACAAACCGTCAGATCTCATGAGAACTCACTATCAGGAGACCAGCAAGAGGAAAACTGCCCCCATGATCCAATTACCTCCATCTGGTCAGTCTCTCCCTTGACACATGGGGATTATAATTCAAGATGAGAGTTGAGTGGTTCCGCAAAGCCTAACCATAGCACAAACCATGCTTATGTGTCACACAGCTTCATTCCCAAGGGTTTCCACATGTCTCCTTTGAGAAACAGAATCCCTATGATAAAATGTGTTCATTTCCACATGGCATCAAAGCGCCGCATTCTGCCACAGAGTTACCTTGCTGGCCTCATGCTCTGATATGTGGCCTCTCCTATATTACTTTTCAGTAGTGCCAAATTACCTGCACATCCCTAACTCTATTCTTTTTCTTGCCTCCATATCCTTGCTCCTGCTGGTTCTTCTGCCTAGAATATTCATTCTATTATTTACCTGGTAAAGTCAACACTATGATAAAAGCATCACTCACTCTGAATCTAATCCTGTCTTATAAGAGCAAGATGGCTGTTCTTTATCTTTTTTTTTTTTAATTTTTTTTTCCTACAGTCACAGACTAAGGTGGTTCTTCTTAATACAGGAAGTCTCCTTTTCTTTTCTATCTGGCTTTTTAATATTACCTGTGATTATTTACTATAAAACTTATATTACTATATAATACATAATATATAAAATAGAATTAATTATATAAAATTATCAAGAAATGAAGAGATATTAATTTTCTAGGGCTGCTTTAACAAATTAGCACAAACTTGGTGGCTTAAAACAACAAAAATATATTTTCTCAAAATTCCATACTCAGTAGTCTGAAATCAAAGTTTCAGCAGGATGACTCTTCCTCTGGCAGCTTTAAGACAGAATCCTTACTTGCCTCTTTCAGCTTCTGGTGGCTCTAGGTGTTCTTTGGCTCAGGACTGCATACCTCTATTCTCTGCTTCCATTCTCATGTCTTTCACCTTTGTATATATCTCTCCTCCGTATGTCTCTTACAAAGATATTAATAGGTTAGATTTAAAATCGACCTGTGTAAGCTGGGAAAATTTCATCTTAGTAGCCTTAATTTAACTACATATGCAAATATCGTTTTTTCTGTAAAAAGTTACATTCATAGATTCCAAGGGTTAGGACATGGACATATTGTTTGGGGCCCATCATTCAATCCACTACAGGGGACATGGTGAATCGACATGTTCTAGTTAATCTGGTACTCAAAGCGTTACAGGAAGTTTTTAATAAATTGCAGACTATACTCATGAGGAGTCATGGCTATCACTAAGAATGCTTTGACTTGACTGATAGTCTGCTATAACAAAAGTAAATTTTAATAAAAAAATTAAAATATTTTAAATGTCAAGGTAATGGGAAATTCATATAATACTAAAGCAGTTTTAGAAATCAAAATTTTATGTAAATTTTAAGTTGCCTGAAAAATACTACCTCAACAAGAAATAATGGTGATAAAGTTTACCTTTAGGAAAAGAGATGCATATATACAAACGTGTTCATTCTTAGAATTGAACCTTAGGATTCATGTGTTGTGCTGTATTTCACCTTTTCTTCATCCCAAGGTGGCATAAAGAAGTCTTGAATCTTAGAAGTTGCCTCTTCATCTCAACAGCCACTTTTAGGGCCCAGAAAAGATTTGTCATTCAAAGAACCTGGCAAAGAAGGGGTCTGACTCCTGTGTTTGCACTGTAGAACTATCCTCAGCGTAGTTGCTTGATTATATTTTCAGATTAAAAATGCAGAGTAAGGAGCAGCAGGAGAAGCTTTAAATGAGTGGATTTGTGGTTTTTGTTTATTTATTTGTCCTTTTCATTTTTTTCAGGGGTTTGGTTGTTAAAAAGAATCTCTATGGAAGTATCCAGTCAATAATTAGCCCCTGTCCCTGCAGTTACAAGTAGAAGACTTTACACTTTGAGCAGAAAGCCATACCTGTTTTGGTTTGACTTACAATGAGGCAATAATCCTCTTTTAAAAATCTTAGAAAGTGTTACAAATAGAGTTGGAGTGGGGAGAAGAGGAGAGAATGAGGTAGGAGGAATAAATATATTAAAAAATAAGTTAGATATTCTAAAGTACAGGACATATACAAGGACCACAGAGAAGTATCAGGGGGGAATTGAAAATAAAGCAACGTATGTCACCACAGTTTGTTTAAAAGTCAGAACTTTAACTTGCAGAGTCTATATGTATCAAATATAATTAATCTATATGTAAAATAAGAACATAGAGTACCAATGGAGACAGGCTGATAGAGAGTGAGAGCAATAAAAGGAAGATGTGGTTCTGCTGGGAATAACTGCTCTAATTCTCCTCCAGTCATTGCAGTAGTAAAGAAAAAGCTGACTTTCTTACCAGCATCTGAATCTGCTCATTAGCAACATAATTGTGGCCTGATATTCATTGCCCCAGTAATGGCTTTTCTACATTACCTCTCAATATAGGCAAGCAAACATGAGGTATGGAAACTTTGTACGTAATTTCTAAGGTTTCAGGATTTTTGGACTGAAAGTGTACACTGCTATTGATGAATTAAAAAGAAAATAAAACACAAGAAAAGACCTCCAGTCAACAGGCAGAGAATTATAGTTGAAGGTAAAAGAGGTAATAAAAAAGTGAGTGATTTTATTTATAGACTTGACTGGTTGACTAGCATGCAATTATGGGACCTGTTTCCAGTTTGTCCTTTGTAAAAATAATTGGTGCCATATAAAGATTTGTTCTAATAAATGGATCTCCTCATGATGCAGAAGAATGATAGTGTGGACTGGCAGCATAATTTAACACAGTGAATACTAGATGTCGATACCATCAGCTGCAGCATTTCATAAGACACATTATACTTAGAACAACTGCTTAGCCTGGATAAGAAGTGCAAAAGGTAAATGGAGTGGCAGTTTGTAGTGTTGTGGGTCCAACTGAGCTAATTAATTAGTCTGCACTTCTGCATTAGCAGTGTCTTGGAAGAATGCAATGGAGCTGCACAGAAACAGCTAGGTTTTGAAGGAAGTCCACATTCAGACAATAGACCACTTACTGAGTACAGCTCAATAGATGAAACAGTAACTTGAGGGTTTTTTTTTTTTTTAAAGAAAAAAGCAAGTATAAAGGGATCCGTCCATGTCATACTGCCATTTTGCTAAAATGTATAAGCTTGTAATGCAGCAAATGGCATAATGATATCCTCACATAGTGGTAAATCAATGAAAGCAATCAAGGTAATTGGTCTCCTCTATTGCACTGTTTCTCATACTTAGAGGCATATTGGAATTGCCTGGGAAAAATTAAAACTACAGCTACCTGAATCCCTTCTCAGGGGGTTGAAGTCTGTTCATGGGGATTATTTTTTAATCTCCTGAGGTAATTCTAATGCGTAGCCAAGGTTGAAAATCACTATTCTATTTCTGACATCTTACCAAATGAATTTTATGTAAGTCCGACTACGTGTTAAAATCACTTGGGAAGCTTTAAAAATGAATCAGATTTTCATCGAATTAAAGCCTGAATATTGGAAGTATGCAAAGATATAATTAATTTATTGAAAAGAACAAAATATGGGTATACTCCAAGAACCTGACTTAGTACCAAGGAAACACAAATAAGACTACTACATGTTATCAAGAAATGTAGCTATATTGAAAGAAATTTATGGTTTAAAGGGATTTATAACTGCCTAATGGATTGAATATTTTAGGCTTAACTCTGCCCCCTTGCCTGTGAACTATTTCCTTGGAAGTATTTGAAAAACAGTGAAAAACTATTTGAGAAACTGCATTATGGTCATGTGTTTTTCAGACTATAGTATGAAGAAAGATTGGGGAACTCAAATTCTGTTTTAATTTTTAATGTCTTTAGCATTAACCCTTTGTGGAGTAGAGCATTCCATTTATTCATCTTCTATAGCCATTGCATGTGATTGAATGGCTACTGATTTTCTCCATAGAATAAATATTAGACGTTTTAAAAAGATCATGTGTTCTTTTTCTCTGGCAACTTACAAATCAGAGAGATAGTAATAAAAAAAGGAGCAGAGAAACACAGAGTAGGCCATAAAGAAATCTGAGACTTTGCCACTAACTTTTTTTCTGAAACTTTGGGAAAGTTATTTGATTTTAGATTTATAAATTAAGGAAATAATGTTTGCCCAAACTTTCACAAAACTTTGTTGTGGAATCAAACCAGCTCAATCAAATAAGATAATGGATATTAAAGTGCTTTGAAATAGTTCAAGCTTTACAAATGTATTTTTTATTATTAATGTGGAAATGGTAATAAATCAGATCAAAGTCCTTCAGTTGCTTCAGAGAAAGAGATGACAAACTGGTAAAATATCTGTGTTGTTGAATCATGACACCTTTCCATTTCAAAATACTATCATAACTTGTTACATTTACTAACATTACCATATATTTAATATTTACTACATGTTATCTTTGATAATTTTCTGACGATGTAATGGAACCTTAATCTTAGCATAATCATATTAATTTAACTCAACGGATAATTATTAAATGTGTAAAATATTTTGTATCAAAAACTAGGAATACAAAAATAAATATGAGACAGTTTCTGTCCTTCAGTGGCATAGTCTTGTTGTGTTGAGATATAAATATAGATATGAACACTATCTATCTATATTGTTATCTACACACCTCAACCTGTCTATTCATGTATCTGTCATCTATCTGTCTATCCAATGTTAAAATTGTGAAAATTCAGAAAGTGGTATGAATTAAAGGACTAAGGAGCTAGAGGAGACAAACATTCTATAAGAGGTGACCTTCATAGATACAATGAAATTTAAGTTCTTGTGAAGAATTAGTGGGAATTTGCCAGAAAGAAAGAAGAATCTCTTAAAAACAAACAAACAAAAAAAAAACAGCAAGAGAAAATAGAAAGAATGAAATGCACAGTCTGTCCACATTGTCTCAATCCCCATCTTGAAAATTTCTTCAATGCAGGTAATCTTACATATACTATGTGGGTTTATCTGAACATCTTCCTGTTGGGCTGCTTCTTCCATGTCATGCATTTTTATCCACTTCAAAAAATGTATTGTCCAAATGTTAAAGTCAATTATACATGCTTTTTTGATTGTTACCCCAATATTCGACTAAATATTCCAATACATTTTTAGGTCAAGTATTTTTGTAATAACCTATTTTAATGTTTGTCTTGAGCTCAACTCTGCCCATCTGGGAAACAATTTTGAGCATTTATGTGGGATGATTTGGGAGTCTGAATGACAGAATTTGAATGTAATGCCTTCTCAAATGATAATTCATTTGAGAATTACACAAAGAATTACACATTTGAGAAAACACATGGAGAGATGTACGTGAGTTTATTGATTTTATGAAGGTATAATTACAACTTTTCTACATATAAGAGTGTATGATTTAGTGAGTTTTTACAAATTTTCTAGAATTTAGCAAAAAGCCTCTGACACATCTGCAAATCACATGATCACTGTATTTCAATGACAAAAAGGTGTTTTTCCTTTGAATGGGATTTTGATTTGAGGAAAAGACAGCAACATTTTATCAATGTGTTGTCTCCTTAGATCCCTGTGAGACTGGAGTCTCTCATACCTTGAAGATTGTCTATGTAAAACATTGTAGAAAGAGGCAAAATGGAATTAAATTAGGGAGATAAAAATACAAAAACAAGTCAGTCATATATGTATTAATGCATTTCATTTTTATCTCAAATTCATTTTATGTTGTTTCTTTCTAATTATTTATTACATATGGGCACACTCATAATTGACAAAAAACTCAAAAATGCTGTTAGAAAGTGCTTTTTTTAATACTAATAGGGAATGAATAGATTAATTCTATGCATATCATTTTATACAGCTAAGAAAAAATGGATGCAACAATTAGAAATAGTAGAATTGTTCAATATTTTAAAAATATAAAACATAACTATGGAGACATTTATAGGCTAAAGTTTATTTAAATTGCTTCTTTTAACTTAGAAAATATTTGTATATATCAAAAAAATTTATAATAAAAAGCAGCATTTTCTTTCTGTAACCTCTCCATGCCTAGTCTCAATCTGCAGTTATAACTTTTTCAACATTTCTTTCATTGCATTATTTTAAAGATTTTTTTACCTGTCCAGATGATTTTCTTATGCTGCTATTTTATGATTAATCTAGACATAACATATATCTTTTTATATGAGAATGAATATTTTCATAACTCTTTTACCCTGCCCCCCACTCAATTCACTACTCTCTAACAATCTGTTTTTCTTTTTTTTTAAACTTTTTTATTTATTTTTTTGGGGTCATCCTTGAATCATCATATGATGTACTAGTAGGATCCAAGTCCAGTGCCAGAAGCAGTGGTGGATGTAACTGTGGTCTAGTGCCTGGTGGCTGTGACAGAGGTTCCTCACTGCTTCTGTGCTTGACTGTGCTGTGGTTCTAGATCTCTAGGCTTTGTGCACACATTCCAAGCTGTTTTCTTACTTCAACAATTCTATAAGCTACCCATTGTTTCAGTGAGTTAATTTTTCTTTGCTCAAATTATTCATGGTGATTGGTATTTGAAATATTGTTTATTGTTCCATGTTAGCATACTCTTAAAATTAGATATAAATAATACTAGGTATGTTTTCTTAAAAAATATTTAAAAATTAGGTTTCTTTTATATTCAATCTGTCATTTCTAGCTGACTGAACAGAATTTATTCTACAGAGAAGTTCAGTCTTGGCATTTCGAACGATGAAAAGGGAAAATGATCAGTTGCTCAGCCTTCACAATAGTTCAGTTGAGATATAATACTATAAGTGTAGGTTAGAGATTAAGAATGTAGGAGCAAAGAGCAGAACTTTGAGGATAGAAAAAAAATACAAGGAAAAGAAGAAGAAGGTCAGCCATAAAGAGTGAAAATAAACTAGGGAGACATGGTTTGTGAAGTATATGGAGAATTATAAGAATGAGAAAGAAGTCATAAGTGATAATTCTCAGGCTATTTACAGAATATAAGATGTTGGAAGAAACTATAACATTTAGTAACAAACATATCCGTTGTTAGCTTTAAGAAAGGAGATTAAAAATAAATGTGGAATCAAAAGTCAGATTGTGGAAGTCATGAGGCATATATTGTATAAAGGTACTGTGGGGAATAAACCTGTTATACAAATAATAAATTTGATAGTGTGCTGTAGAGTTAGGCAGAACCATATCTAATTCCAATATTATTTACTTGTGACAGTGGGTAAATGAAGTAACAGTTAACCCTGTAGACTATAATTATTTCATCAATAAAACTTGAAGTATTATACTTGCTACAAAATGTGGTTGTTATGCTTTCAATAAATACTACTCTCTATCTCTTTAAATTGAGTGACTGATAGGACTTATGACTAGGAATAATTTATATACATATATATTTATATACATATACATGTATATTTGCATACTTATGAGAACCTAGAACATTTTGTGGACAGATTGAAAAAAAACACAAACCTTGCAAGTGAGAGAACAGATATAGTGAAGAGAAAAGGAATAGAATAAGGGGTGTGGAAATTGATGGAGCAAGGTGGGTGGGTGTGAAATTTTAGAATCAGTAAAATCTAAACTGTAAAGAATAAACCTGTTTTCTTTTGATTCAGGGGAAAAGAAAGAAAAATTCATCAAGATAGAATATGTGTGAAGTAAAAAATAAATAATTTGAGGAGGCTCAAATTAAATAGCTTCTATCTCAGAAAATTAAGAAATAATGGCAATTATAATAATAAAAGAATGGGGGAAGTGTTGGGTGAATGAAAATATGACTATGTTTGTGTTTGGTGATGTAAGAAGGAATAAGAGCATTAGTGAAGACAGAGCCACTCTAAAGAAGATAGTACCATGTAGCAGCAGAATCAATTATCTTTTCAATAATTTTGACATATCAAGTATATTTTAGTAATGTGGGCTTATCTACACTCACAGTACAATAATGTAACAATAGCAAAAAATGGAAGCTCTAATAAATGTTCACTGTTTCCAGAATATACTTTGGACATTAGTATGTTGATCCAGTTCTCAGTGCAAGTTTTTTTTTTTAAATACTAATTGCTGGAAGTTAAATGTAGCAGCATTTTTAAAGAAGATCTGATTAACTGAAGGTTGTTCTTAATTAAAGTTTCTTAGATGATAAAAAGCAAATCTGTTTATCAAGTTATACTTATAATAAAATATGTGTAAGCAATAGTAATAGGAAGAGTAAAAGTCAGGGGTTCTATTTCATTGCTTTATTTACATAGGCAATATGCATTTTCAAATAGTGGATCTCTGGAGGACATGAATTTAGAAATATTAATTCCAATTTATCTTTATCACAGTAAACAACATCAACTATATTGATTTGGTTACCGATTTGTCGCTCAGATATTATTGATAGTCTGAATAGCAGCAAATAGAAAGAACAAGAGAGACTTGTGAACTCACTGTCATATACACTTAGTAAAAACATGGGCAATGAGATAAGAGCCTTCAAAATTCATTCTTATCTCTTTCTCTGCTTGTCTATTATTTGTTTCTTCCCTTATGTTTTACCTTTTCAAATAGATGTATTTCTTCATAGTCTTCAATTTTTTATGGTTACTGAAGAAGTCTGCTCCTAATTGAAGGAGTGCCAGTGATTAATGAAAATAAAGACCAACAGAATTTTCAATGTAATTTACAGTTGTCTATCCTGTACTTTTAAAAAATCACATTGTATGTTTTCAAGTTTTCTTTTTTCTCTTTTACTTAGGCACGGTCTTGCAATAAGGGTTTTTTAAAAAGGCTTTTCAGCTATTTTGGTAAATCACTCAGATATAAAAGCATATTTTCAGCTACTTATCTTTGGAATTTCCATTTTACAGCATTTTCTCAACCAGGTGTATAAATAAGAGAAAACAGGTGTTGGAATACTTGGTCCCATTTTATACTCTGTCTTCTGATCCTTGAACCTTGAAACATGGAGTACCTCTGCCTGATTAAAGAGGAAGATAAAAGGCAGGTGAACATACCCTTTGTTATACTGTTGTCTTTTAAATTAGCAGTCTTAAAAAAGGCATTTGTTATCCTCCTCTGGTATGTTTCTGCTCTCTAGCTCTTCTTCAGATGTGGCCATGCCAAAGCTTCAGGATTCCCAATACTCTAGAAGCTTTTGAATTAACACCTCTCAAGTTATTTAGAATATATAATTTCATAGAAAACCAAGATTCTAGGGTCTTAGTAGCAAAGCTCTGAGGAAGAGGGAGTGCTAAATAAGGTTGAAGCACAGGGTGATGGTGGACTAACTGGTTTTGTCTCAGCCCATTTTATATAGTAGCATTGGGATCGGTGATATTATAGGTGTTTGTATCACTTTACACCTCTTTTCACTGTGATTTTGTTACTAGTAACTATTCTCATTTAAACAGATGACAATTTAAATAACAAATGGCACATCAATTTGATTTTAATTCCCATTTATTTGCTTATAAATAACATTGATTTTTATACCATGTTTATTATTAGACCAATAGATTTCTTCTTTTGTTAATTAGCTGCTTATTTTGTCTGGTTATTGTTTTGAACTTTAGCATTTTTTGTATCAATGTGTGTCAGCTTTTTATATATATCAATCATAATTGTCAAATCTTTCCCTGTTTTCTTCTCAGGATGATTTCTTCAGGGGGTACATTACAATCATGTCTATTACAAAGTTATATTTTACACTTGCATTTTGAATTTTTCAATCACTTTATTAGAATATTTCCCTATAGTACAAAAATTTCATAAACACCATTTAGCTATTTCAACCTTAATTTTTTAACTCTTTAAAACTTTCATGATTTAGTTTTTGTGAATGTGTTTAAATTGTCATAGCATAATTCATTGAATTTGTTTCATGCTTCATATTTACTGATAAATACCTCTTTCTCATAAGTTACATACTTGTGTATAATAGAATAATCTATCTGTTGACTCTCCCAACTTTGTTATTGACTGTGGTTGCAAATAATTTATATACAGTATAACAGAAGGTCTCTATATTTCCAATCTATATTCTGGTAAAATAATTTTTTCCCTATATTACTTATCTTTCTTAGATTTTAGCATATGTTTTTGTCTTCTTGCTAATGTGTGTTATTGTGAACAAGGTTGTTCTTCTTCTCCTTACTCCCTTTTAACATCAGGAGAAATAAATCCTGTAGCTTTCATAAGCTACAGAGAGTAGTGGATTTCCCCCTGGGTCTGTAGTTCTTACAATAAGATTGTTGCCTTACTGCATGAACTGAGGAGGTGGTACACAGAGAAGCAGAATGGTGTACTGGCAGTGTACTGTTCATGCCAGAGGAATAACTGGAATCTAGTAACTGATATGCTAATTTCCCACTTAAATTTTCATAATCTTTTATCCAGATTCTCTTTGAAATAAAATGGTTGGCAGAAATATGTATTATTATTTTTCTCCTAATTAATTTCTTCAATCTTTTCTAGCTTTAATTTTATTTCCACAGAAAAGTGGTTATACAATATTGGATAATATATACCATTTAGGTCACTACCCCAACCAATGCAGGAGTCTAAACAACAATCTCCCAGTGACTTTTCCTCCAGCTGCTAATGACTACCTCTCTTTGTGAAAGGCTTATATTCCAATCACAACTTTGAATGACACTGCTATGAAGAAAGCTTTTCTACATATGTGTCCTGTTGAATTAAAAATCCTAAAGAGGAAACAAGTCAAATGTGATGTCGTTAACTTTAATCACTTTAAACTTAGTGGATTTAAGAGAATCTAAGAAAATATGCTAGACCTACATGGATCTTGGATGAGAAAGCTGTTCAAACTATATTTTAGTGCCAGGGAGCAAAAGAAAGGTAATTACTATAAAACGGGCAATTAAAATATGCACATTTCCAGGTGAAATTATATGGCATGATTCATCTAATTCATTAAAAATATAAATGTATGGAGTTAATTAATTTTCTAATTAAACTCCACTTTTGTTTTAAATTTCAGAGTCTCGAGAGTCACTTCTACCTCCAGGCTGTCAAATCATCCAAAATTAATATAAATTATAGCTGTAACTTTTATCTCATATCTTAGGTCTGTGAGACATTTGTTACATTTAAATATGTCTAAAATAATTAAAAGTGCATGTAATAGTACAGCAGATAAAACAAGCTGTAAAGTTCTATATAGCTCCTTCCAATCTGTTAAATAAAATCTGTTTCATTTTCTGGGTGGGGCAATTAATTCTATGAGAGGAGATGAGTTTAAGTACCCAATGCTGGGTAAGAAAATGTGCACAAGTTGGCGTGTGTGCATGTTTATTTATCACAACTGAAAACAGGTAAGTCATCTGGAAAGTTTTGCAGCTGTACAAGAAGCTGTGAACCTCCTGACAATTTCTTGCTCTGAAACTGGGAGTAAATTTCCAACCAGTAACACATAATAATACATTCCAAGAGGCAGAATTGTTTGTTTTTCATCCTTTTAAGTTAGATTTCTTGGTCAACTCGAAAGAGTTTAAATGTGTTTTGAAGCTATAAAACAATTGAAACTTCTAACCTGTGATTGAACTCCACAGGCTAAAGAGGAAAAGATGCAGTTGATAATGTCGTGTTGCCAGAAGAAAGGCACAGGGCAAGTGAACTATAGTGATTCAGTATTCAGCTGGATACACAGCACACAGGAAAATTTTCACCATACTTTAAAGGTCAGTTAGCATTACTGTTCAGCTCACTGAAGCTGTTTATGATAAGGAAAAACAACACATTTTTACTGTGCCCAAGTCCTTTCATCTCCCCTAAATAATTATAATCATTTCTTCTTGGATAATATAGACTAGAAGGAAACATATTCACACATTTAGTTCTCAGCAAATCTTTAAAACTAAAGAGCTCAAGGCCTTTTTAGGCCTTGAGCGATTAAAAAAAAAACAACCCAAAACTAATGTTTTTCAGGTTCTCAATATGAGCTGGGAAAATTAAATCCTTATGAAATTTTACAACAGGAAGTATGTTAATTTCCTATTACTGCTAAAACATCAGCACAAATCTATGGCTTGCAAATTTATTGTCTTACAGTTCTGGAGGTCGAAGTATGAAATGGATCTTGGCTAAAATCAAGGTATTTTTTCAGGGCTGTACTCCTCCTGGAGGCTCTAGGAAAGAACCATTTCTTTCATTTTTCAGCTTTTATAGGCCACCCACGTTCTTCAACACGTGGTTTTGCTGCATCTTTACAGTTAGCAATGCCAGGACAAATCACTCCAATTTCTGTTTCCATTGTCACATCTCTCTCTCTGACTCTGCCTCTTTTGCGTACCTCTTTCACTTAAAAGGAGGACTCTTGTGATTTACAATTGTTCCCATCAGATAATCCAGGGTAATTTCCCCCTCTCAAAATCTTCTGACAAATTTATTTTGCCATGTAAAGTAATATATCCATAGTTCTGGGGATTAGGACATGAATGTCTGTAGTGGTTCATTATTGTGCTTTCTTCAGGGTGGTCCCTGTTTTATATACAGGAAACTAAAACTCATAGAGTTGAACTGACTTGCAACTCAGTCCGTAATTCTTGAAGCTAGAATCTGCCTGACTACAACATTCATGTTCTTTCTATTGCATGATGCTTCATTCATGAGGTGCACTGGCCTAGTCTCCTGTCAATTCTCTGTCTCCAGATTGCCTACATTGTCTAGATTCCTTGGACAAATATTAGAAGGTCCAACGTGCCTGAAAGTTTACAATGAAAGAAAGAACCAGGAAAATTTGGAGTTCAGGCATGAAGCCATTTGTGTCCAATCATATTTCATGTGGATTATGCTGACCACAGCTATGTTAAAGTGTTCAGAATGTCTAACAGAATTATATTAACACTAAAAAATGCTGTTCCTTTTCTTATGGAATGCATTTCTTATGAGAACAGGAGATATATACTCATACGAAAATCATATGAGTAAAGCTGAGACTTGTCTTTAACCTGTTGGAACACGTAGTGTTTTTATACCTATAGATAAATAATAAAAATTGAATCTAAAAGATGTTAGATTGTTTAAACATAAATTAATAATTTGATCTCTCATTTTTTGGTTTAGCAGATCAGGTTAATATTAAAATCGAATTATTATAAGAGCTGTTCTTCTGTCAAATTATCAAATCATAAAATTCCTCTGTTTGTGTCAAGAACATAAAATACAATTATAGTGTCACGTTATACTCATTTTGAACTAAAAGAATTATCAAGAGTAAAATATGATCAAGAAAAGGAAATATCTATTTCTCCAGCCTAACTTGTGAGTTTCCATGACATTTAATACAATTTCAAAAATATGATGAATTCCAAACTTGACCTCCTATATATTGAGACTTCTTTTTTTTAAGTTTATGACAAAATGTAAGGGCCCTTTACTCTTCTTGGAAGTAGAATGCTGCATATTTTCTTTGCTTGAGCTATTACTAGGAGTGAATGAATCCGATTAAATAAAAGAAGTAACTAGAAAATTCCTTTGCTCTATAATGAAACACTATTTTTTAACTAATTACCATTGTCTGAAAATTATGTTTTAAAGAATTAATTGTAGTTTTTATATACAATTGTCTACATCTTCTTTATTGTACTGGGACTAGAGACAAGATTTTTTAAATTCAAAAGAAATATGACATCTATGATGGTTAAAATGAATAATGTGGCCACATTAAGGAATATGATGACTAAAATTTAAAAGTTAACGATGTTTTGGAACAGATTCAGATAATCTAATTAAATGAAGGGCCATCTATACCTAATGAACATTAACTACTTTGGTTTCATTCATCCCTACTTATAAATTATGCTGATAAATCATTTCAAAAGGAAACAAAATCATGATAAAGGAATCTGGATCTTATATTAGGATGTACAGTACCAGTTCCTGGGAGGACTAAGGAGTACATATTTTCATCTTATCAATTGATTGTGTGCATGGAACTTATTTTGTCTAGAATGTAATCTTGAAAATGAAGTATTCAAGGATGTGAGTGGTCTACACAAAAGATTCTGAAATTGATGACAGATAGTAAATAAGGAAGGAAATTGTTTAAGATTAGGTAATCTTTCGCTCTCACTTAATTCTGAAATATCTCCTTTTCTGATGGTACTGTCAAAATTTCCAATAAACGTTGAATATGTTTATCTGGAAATAAAACTTACAATAACAATAAATATTTCTCATAATTGGATTATCATACTTAAAGCCTAAATGGTAATTGTATTCTCTTCTTTTTAATCATCCTAGTGGATGCCCATTTCACATGTATTAAAATATAACTTATTATTATACCAATTTATCATACATGTGCTAGACCCTGTCAGCTGTCTCACCTCGTCTTCTACACTTCAACATCTGCATTAGTGGTTACATAATTTTCAGAGTGAAGTAAAAAATAAACATTTGAGGCCAACTGTTCAAAAAAACTTAAGAATTATAAGACAGTGAGAGCAGAACATTAAACCAAGTACAAGGTCCTTATAGACACAGGTCCCTGTGTGATTATATATGTTGCATGCCCATTAAGCTTTCATAGTGGTTATCAATATTAAAATTCTAAGGCCTTTCATAGTGGTTATCAGTATTTAAATTAATGTCTTAATCACTGTGTTTGTTTAATCTGGCCTCACTGTTGAGTGTACTCTCTGTACAGCTCAGAGCATAACTGCCATATATACTTTAATATCCATATTTAGAATAGTCCCTGACACATAAAAATATTAAACAGTTTTAAAGGAGCAAATGAAATAGTAAGTGAATGAAACTAATTTCTCAATTTCATTCAATCTGACATTTTTTTCTAACCTGTTTATCACAACTATTCATTTAATAATTATCTATGACTTCCTAAATTGTAATGTTACATTTTACCTTCACTTCTCTTCATTTTTTATTTGAGCCTATAAAATCATTATATCCCTAGTGTTTAGTTTTTATCAATACAGTATTCTAAGGAGGTGGAGCAAAATGGCAGAATAGAACACTTCAGTGATTTTACCAACATAGAAACATCAGTGTGAAGAACTATCTACACAAGAAAAGTACCTTCGCAAGAGCTAAGTAGATCAGAAATCATAGTACCTTGTTGTAGCACGACAACAAAAAATTCATTAAAGAGGTTAGGGAGGGCATATAGTCTTGCATTGTCTATACCACACCTCCCCCCATATCCAAGCAATGAAGGGGGAAGATAGACTCAATTTCCTTATGGAAAGGAGAGGAAAGTGTGCATGAGATTTTCCTTGACATCCAGTACCAGCCCTGTCAGAGTAAAACACAGTACTGAGCAGAAACTTGGGGACTCTGATTCCAAATCAATGCCTGCAAATGAGGCTTCTATATAACTGCCCCAGGCCAAGAGGGTATCTACTGCCTTGGCAGGATGAACCTGAGTCTTATCCTACTTCATAGTTGACTGAGTAAAGTGGCCTTGAGCACCAAATAAATTTCAGCAGCAGGCAGATGGTAGTGGCCATGGGCCTTGGGCATGATCCCAAGTGCTGCACAGGTCTGGGAAGCTATGGGCTTCAGGTAAACTAGCAAGTTGTCAGCTGCAGAATACACAAGATTACTCATATTACCCCTTCCTCAATCCCATACATCACAGCATATAAAAAGACTCCTTCCACTTGAAGGAAGAAGGAATTGAGTGAGAAACTTTGGATGAGAACCCAGAGAACATTCCTTAGTCTTCTCCAGGTCTATAAAGGCCAGGGATCTTAGAGCTTGTGAGAAAGTTGTGGCAAACTCAGGCACAGGGCACCCTTTAGTGCTAAAGTGCCTGCAGTGATGACAGGCTTGGTGAACTCAATAGTTAGTCCACTATGAATTCCAGAAAGGTCGTCTGAAGAAGAACAGGCACAAACAAAACAAGACCACAAAGACTGGAATAAATACCTAATTCTTCAATGTTCAGACATTGACATACATTCAAAGGCATCAAGAACATTCAGAGAAACATGAGCTTACAAAGTAAACTAAATAAGATGCCAGTGACTGACCCTGGAGAGATGGAAATATGTGATCTCTCAGACAAAAAATTCAAAATAGCTGTCTTGAGAAAACACAACAAACTTTAATACTACACAGAGAAATAATTCAGAAATGTATAAGAAAATTTTAACAAAGAGATGGAAATAATTTTAAAAATAAATCAGAAATCCTGAAGCTGAACAAATACAATGAACAAAGTGAAAAATGCATTAGAGGATTTTGAAAGCAGAGTTGATTTAAGCACAACAAGGAATCAGTGAGCTTGAAGACAGGCTATTAACAAACACTAGTAAGAGGATGAAAAAAGTCAAAATAATAAAGACAGTTTATTAGTCTGTTTTCACGCTGCTGATAAAGACGTACCTGAGACTGGGCAATTTACAAAAGAAAGATTTTTAATGGCTTACAGTTCCTCATGGCTGGGGAGGTCTCACAATCATGGTGGAAGGCAAGGAGGAGCAAGTCACATCTTATGTGGATGGTGGCAGGCAAAGAGAGAGCTTGTTCAGGGAAACTCCCATTTTTAAAACCATCAGATCTTGTGAGACTTATCCACTATCACAGCAACAGCACAGGAAAGACTCCCTCTCATGATTCAATTACCTCCTACCAGGTTCCTCCTATGACACATGGGAATTGTGGGAGTTACAATTCAAGATGAGATTTGAGCCAAACCATACCAGACAGATTGTGAGATTATAGAATAGCATCAAAAGAGCAAACAGTTAAAACATACTTCCAAAGAAAATCACTTAATCACAAAGGAAGACAGTAAGAAAGAAAAATAAATAAATAAAGGAGTTACAAATCAGCCAGAAAACAAATAACAAAATTGTAGCAGTAAGTCCTGTTCAATATAAACTTGAATGTAAATGAACTAAATTATTTAATTAAAAGACAGAGTGGCTGAATGATTAAAAAATTAAACAAGACTCAGCTACATGCTGTCTACAACAAAATTACTTCACCTATAAAGACACACAGAGGGCCTGGTGCGGTGGCTCATGCCTGTAATCCCAGCATTTTGGGAGACTGAGGCAGGTGGATAACAAGGTCAGGAGATCGAGACCATCCTGGCTAACATGGTGAAAACCTGTCTCTATTAAAAATACAAAAAATTAGCTGGGTGTGGTGGCGGGTGCCTGTAGTCCCAGCTACTTGGGAGGCTGAGGCAGGAGAATGGTGGGAACCTGGCAGGTGGAGCTTGCAATGAACTGAGATTGCACCACTGCACTCCAGCCTGGGTGACAGAGCTAGACTCTGTCTAAAATAAAAAAAAATTAAAAAAAAAAGGCACACAGAGGCTGAAAATGAAAGGATGAAAAAAGATATTCCATGCAAATGGACACTGGAAGCCATAAGAGAGAAGGAACAGCTATGCTTATTTCAGATAAAAAAGATTTTATGTCAAAAACAGAAAACAAAAGCAAAAGAAGGCCACTATATAATGATGAAGAGGTCAATATGGGAGGATGGTATAATATTGTTAATATATATGCACCAAACACTGGAGCACATATGTATATAAAGCCAATATTAACAGACATAAAGGGAGTGATTGATTGCAATACAATAATGGTAGGGGACTTCAACACACCACTTTCAGCAATGAACAGATCATTCAGATAAAATATCAAGAAAAATATTGTAGATAAACTTTACTCTAGACCAAACAGACCTAACAGACATTTAAAAAACATTCACCTAATGGCTGCAGTAGAGACATTGTTCTTAACAGCACATGGAACATGCTTCAAGATAGGCCACATGTTAGGCCACAAAACAAGACTTAACACATTTTTTTAAAAAACAAAGGTGGCTGGGTGTGGTGGCTCACATCTGTAATCCCAGAACGCTGGGAGGTTGAGGTGGGTGGATCATGAGGTCAGGAGATCGAGACCATCCTGGCCAACAAGGTGAAACCCTGTCTCTACTAAAAATCCAAAAATTAGCTGGATGTGGTGGCATGTGCCTGTAATCCCAGCTACTCGGGAGGCTGAGGCATGAGAATTGCTTGAGCCCAGGAGGTGGAGGTTGCAGTGAGCCGAGATTGTGCCATTGCACTCCAGCCTGGCGTCAGAGTGAGACTCTGTCTCAAAAAAAAAAAAAAAAAAAAAAAAAAAAAAAAGGCATATCATATAAAGTATCTTTTCAGACAGCAATAGAATAAAACAAGAACTGCATAACAAGGGGAGCTTTGGAAACTGTACAAATATGTAGTAATTAAACAACATACTCATGAGCAGCTAATGAAGCAATTCAAAATTAAATGGGAAATTTAAAGATTTCATGAAGCAAATGAAAATGGAAACACAACATACTGAAAACTATGGGGTACGGCAAAAGCAGTTCGAAGAGGGACATCTATAGCAATAAAGGCTCCTGTAAAAAAAGACCTCAAATAAACATCTTGACATTATACCTCATGAACCAGAAGAACAATCGAAACCCAAAATAAGTAAAAGAAAAAAAAATTAAAAACAAATAAATGAAATAGACTAAAAAATTACAATGATCAATGAAACAGATGTTTTTTTGAAAGAATAAACAAATGTATATACTTTTAGCTAGACTATGAAAAAGAGAGAAGCTTCAAATAACTAAAATCAGACACACAAAAAGAAACATTCCAACTGATATCACAGAAATATAAAGGATCATGTAACTATTATGAACAAATATATGCAAAGAAATTGGAAAACCTAGAAGAAATCATAAGTTCCTTAACATATACACCTTACTATGATTAAATCATGTAGAAATGAAAAGGCTGAACAAACCAATAATGAGTAACAGATCAAAACAATAACAAAATTTTTTCCATCCAAGATAACTCCAGGATCTGATGGTTTCACTGCTGAATTGTACCAAACATTTAAATAATTTATAGCAATTCTACAAAACTCTTCCCAAAAAAAGGAATAAAAGGAAATATTTCTAAATTCATTTCTCACTCAATTCTTTTTTCCCTCAAGTGAAAGAAGTTTCACTATTCTGTGCTGTATGGGATTACGGGGTAACATGAGCAGCCTCATGGATTCTGCAGCTGACCATTCCAACTCTTTTTTTGGTTTCCAGTGTCTATTTACATGGAGTATCTTTTTTCATGCAAATGAGGTCAGCATTATCCTAATACCAAAACTAGACAAAGAAACAAAATCAACATTGACGACAACCACCAAAGAAAACTAAAGGACAATATCTCTGATGAACACAGATGCAAAAACCTTTCACAAAATATTAACAAACAGAATTCGGTAATAAATTAAAAAATCATTCATCATGATCAGATGGAATTAATTCCAGGAATACCAGAATAATTCAATATACACAAATTAATAAACATTATACATTATATCAACAGAATGAAGGACAAAAAGCCTATGATCATTTCAATAGGGGTTGAAAAAAATTTGATAAAACTCAACAGCCATTCGTGATAAAAACTCTCAACAAGTATAGAAGTAATATACCTTAACATAATAATTGTCATGTATGACAAGCACGCAGCTAATATCATACTCAATAAGGAAAAATTGAAAACCTCCCCACTAAGATCTGGAACAAGACAAAAATGCCCACTTTTCCACTTTTATTTGACATATTACTGGAAGACCTAGCCAGAGCAATTAGCCAAGAGAAAGAAAGAAAGGATATCCCGATAGGACAATAGGAAAGGAAGAAGTCAAGTTATTCTTGTCTGTAGGTGACATGATCTTATATTGAGAAAAACCTAAAGACCAAACCAAAAATCTCTTAGAATTGATGAATGAATTCAGTAATGTTGCAAGATATAAAATCAACAGACAAATATCAGTTGCATTTCTATATGCTGACACATTCAGTTTGAAAAAATATTCAAGAAAGCAATCTCATTTCAAAAGCTACAAAATAAGTAGAATACCAATAAATAAATGTAAAAGGAAGTAAAAAGTCTCACAAGAAAATCTATAAGACACTGATGAAAGAAATTGAAGAGGACACACACAAAAATGAAAAGCTATCCCAAGCTCATGGATTAGAAAAATTAATATTGTTAAAATGTCTACAGTACCTAAAGTGATCTACAGATTCAATGTAGCCCCTATAAAAATATCAATGACATTCTTCACAGAAATAGAAAAAAATAATGCTAAAATTTATATGGAACCACAAAAGACCCTGAATAGCTAAACAATCCTGAGCAAAAATAACAAAGCTGAAGGAATCACACTACCTAAATCCAAAATGTACTGCAAAGTTAAAGTAATTAAAAAAGCATGGTGCTGGCATAAAAACAGATTCATAGACTAAAGGAATAAAGCAGAGAGCTCAGAAGTAAATCCACGCACTTATAGCCAACTCATTCTTGACATACATGCCAAGAATATACAATAGGGAAAGGACAACCTCTTTAATAAACGGTACTGAGATAACTAGATATCCATAGGTAGAAGAATGAAACCAGATTCCTGTCTTTCACCATATACAAAAATCATCTCAAAATTGATTAGAGATTTAAATGTATAACCTGAAACTATAAAACTACTTGGAAGAAAACATTGAATAAATATTATAGGACATTGGTCTGGGCAAAGATTTTTTGGGGTAATAGCTCATGAGCACAGGCGACAAAATAAAAAATACACAAAAGAAATTTGATCAAGCTAAACAGTTTCTGCATAGCAAAGAAAACCGTTAATAAAGTGAAGAAATAACCTGCAGAATGAAATAAAATATTTGCAAACTATCTGACAAAAAATTAATATCAGAAATATATAAATAATTCAAACAACTTAGAAAAAAATAATGCAGTTAAAAATGTGAGCAAAAGGGACCGGATATTTCTCAAAAGAAGACATATAAATATCCAGCGAGTGTATGAAAAAGTGTTCAACAACTCTAATCATCAGGAAAATGTAAATCAAAACCACAATGAGATATCACCTCACCCCAGTTAGAATGACTAGTATCGAAAAGACGAGACATAACAAATGCTGGTGAAGATGTGAAGAAAGAATTGTTACACACTGATGATGAAAATGTATACTAGTAAAGCCATTATGAAAAGCAGTATGGAGGTTAAAAAATTAAAAATAGGACTACCATATGATCCAGCAATCCCATTACTGGGTGTATATCCAAAGTATATGAAAGTATGCGATGAGATGTCTGCACCTACATGTTTATTGCCATGCTATCCACAATAGCCAAGATATGGCATCAACCTCTGCCTATCTATGGGTAAATGGATAAAGAAAATGTGATATGTGTGTGTGTTTATATGTGTATTTGTGTACCCAATACTATTAAGTCATAAACCAAAATGAAATTCTGTCATTTGCAGCAACATGGGTAAACCTGGAATAAGCCAGGCACCCAAGGACAAACATTGCTGGTTCTTCTGTGTAGAATCTAAAAAAGTATGTCTCATAAAAGCAGAGTAAATAGTGGTTAACAGAGGCTGGGCAGTGTAAGGGGTAAAGTGATATGAACAGGTTGGCCAACAGGTGCAAATTTACAGTTTCAGAGAAATAATATGTTCTGATACTGTACTACACAGTAAACTAAATAAAGCTAATAAGAATGCACTACATATTTTTAGATAATTAGAAGAAAGGTTATCACCACAAATAAATTATAAATGTTGGACGGGTATAGTAGCTCTCGCCTGTAATCCCAGCACTTGGGGGGCCAAGGCGGGTGGTTCGCGTGAGGTCAGGAGTTCGAGAAAAAAAAAAAAAAAAGAAAGAAAGAAGGAAGAAAAGAAAACAAAAATTAGCCAGGCATAGTGGTGTGCACCTGTGGTCCCAGCTACTCGGGAGGCTGAGGTGATAGAATCACTTGAGGCTGGGAGGCAGAAATAGCAGTGAATCAAGACCACACCACTGCACTCCAGCCTGGGTGACACAACAAGACCCTGTCTCAAAAAGGAAAGAAAAATAAAAGATAAATGTTTCACATGATGGGTATGCTAATTATTATGATTTGATCATTTTACAATGCATACATACATTGAAACATCACACTTTACCCCATACATTTGTACAATTAAAAAAATGGATATATTCATAGGCTTGCTGTTTGACAAGGACCAAAAATAAAAATAAAAAAATGAATTATAACACTCCTGTTTTCTTTTCTATTTATTTTTTCTACATATCTTTAGTCCCAAATTTTAGTTCATAGGTCAAGGGTGTAAGCAGAATTTAAAATACCTTTGCAAATGTTTAAAATGAGGTGTTTAAGTGTTACAGAAAGGCTGATCCATAGATTAACTTCAATCTGAAAAGCAGAAACATTATGTCCATGTTCCTGTAATGATAGAATTTAGTGAGTGGAGACCCAGTTTAGGTTCTCCAGAGAAACAAAACCAACAAAATGTAATGTAAAACACTTATAAATAATATGTTATTATATATTTATTATAAGGAATTGACTCATGAAACTATGGATGATGAGATGCCCCAAGATCTGCGCTCAGTAAACTAAAGACCAGGAGTGCCAATAGTCTAGTTTCAGTTACAGTCCAAAGGCTTAGGAACCAAGAAAGCTAAATATGCAAACTCTGATTCTGAGTCCAAAGTTAGGAGGAGACCAATGTCCTATCTTCAACACAGTCAGGCAGAAAGAGAGTTGTCTCTCATTCAGCCATTTTTTTTTTTTTTTGTTATCTAGGTCTTCAACAGATTGGATGAGGCCCACTCACTGGGGAAAGCATCTGCTTTTCTTAGTCTACCAATTCAAATGTTAATCTTATTCAAAAATACTCTCACAGACACATCCAGCATAATGTGTAACCAAATACCTGAGTAACCCAAGACTTTATGTATAATAAGTTTATACATAAAATTAACCATTGTAAGTTCAATCTTTGTCAACCTGGTAACCATGCCTCTCCTCAAACCATATTTAATCTTTTCATAGAAGGAATAACAAGGGCACAATTGCACCTACATAATACAGCTATCCCATGTACACATAAAAACAAACTTCTTCTTCTGAAGAGGAGTAAAATTCTTGAAGGATATTTACTCTTGTCCTTGATATTCCATAACTCAAATACCATAATGTAAAATTAGCAATTTTTAAATACTATGAGTCAGTGCTTCTTACGTTCCACAACAGGGAAACAAGAGAGGGAAGAAAACAAAGCAATTTGCTTAACATACACACACACCACAAAATAAGAAGGAATACTTAGGACAATTACAGTCTTCATTTCTGTAGCTGGTCATGCTGTCATAGCTGGTATTTATAACTACTTTTTTTGCACCTCCCATTTTGTGTTCCCTTTATCTTCAGCAAGCACCTTAGCTGGTTGTATTTTCTGCTCAGTGAAGTGACACAAACTTTCATTCCTGAAGAGTCTGGACAATTAGTCCTGACTGGAATGGGTTGTTTTAATTTTCCACTGACCTTAATCACAGGACACAGTAATACTAAGAGATGGTGTAAGGGATCTGCTGTATTCTTCCTTACTGTGGAGTAGTCATCCAGTTTTCCCTTGGTAGTCAGCATCACTCACTCCAGCCAGCAGAGTAACTGCCTTTTCTCCCTGTTGATTCAGAGGCATGAGGACTTCAAAGCACCTGGGCAGCAGCCTTAATGTCCAGTTCAGTGAAATCATTGTTGAATCTCCTGGTGAAAGCATTTCTCTCCTTGGAAATAAGACTTTGGGCCAACTAAGAAAGTGGAAACAGAAAAAAAAATTATTAATGGACCATTAAGGGTAGTAATGAATGGTGCCACTTCCATTTTGAGCCCTCAATTCTTGGACAAATAAATTGTGGCTGTTAGAGAAACAACACCATATATTGGACACTGATTCAGAGGATATACTGCCTTCTGCATAACGTTGTTGTAGACATGCAAGTTATTGCCACTTATCTGGTCCTGTAAATGAGTCTTCAAAAGACTTCCACCACTCTATCAATCGAGCTGCATCAGTACGGTGGGCAACATTGTAAAAACCTCTAAATTCAATAAACATTTGCCCATTGCCAAAAGTATTTTGCTGTTAAGTGAGTTCCCTGATCAGAAGTAATGCTGGGCAAAATTCCATGATAGCCAATTCTATAAGTCCACAGATAACAGGTTTGGCAGAAGCAATTTGCACAAGTAAGACAAATCCATATTCAGAGTAATTGTCTTTTGTAGTAAGAACAAAATGCTCTCTTTTTTTATGATGGAAATGGCTCACCCTGTGACAAAATAGCCAGCTGATCTTCCTGGAAAATGGACTGTTTATGGTTGTTCCATCTTTACATTTTGGAAGCATGTGCGTTTCTGGTTTCACAGGTTCACAGCTGTAGGTAAATTTTGTCTCAGGATAAATCATACCTCAATTCTCATTCACATCTGATTTAGGTTATACTTAGATGAGACTTCCACATTTGGACTCTAGAGTCAATGGTGAAATGAATTTACACTCTTGTACCTATTGGGATGAAATGAATGTATTTGGTAAGTGAGAATAAAATAAATTTGAGGGGGCCTGAGGGCAGAATGTTATGGAGAAAATTGTGTCCCCCGCAAATTCATATGTTGGGGCCATAACCCTCAATGTGATGATTTTTGGAGATGAGTCCTTTGGTAGATAATTAGGCTTAGATGAGTTCATGACAGTGGTGCCCTCAGGTTAAGATTAGTGCCTTTATAGGAAGAGACACTAGAGCTTGCTTGTGCACATTCTCTGTTGCTCACTCTCTCTCTACTATGCGGTTACACAGAAAGACTTCCAGCCTCAAGAACTGTGAGAAAATAAATTTATGGTGTTTAAGCTACTACATTTATGGCATCCCAAGCTTACTAAGACAGTGATCAATAGGCTAAAACATGATTATGGCAAAATTCCAGATGTTAGCATTTTCTTATCAAATCAAATAGATGTGGTTATGAAAAGAGTATAATTGTCATTTTAACCTATTAGTGTTAATTGGTAGAATGGTTGGGAATATTACATATACTTTTGAATCCAATCTTAATATGATACAGTAAAATAAAGCATAATTGCTGGACGTTAACTAAATTATAAACTTAAGTGCAGGACAGATTATTGAAATGTAGAGAAACACATTTCTGCTAACCTTGGAAATCCATCTCTCACAAACTTATCATCCCTGATTATGCCAAAACATAGTAATGATTTGGCTTTCATCTCATTGGACATCTAGTTTAATCTTAAATTTTAATTATCCACTCTTCACAGATAGATTTCCACCAAGTCTTTACACCTGAATAAATATTATTAGAAGTAGGACACTCAAACTATCTTAGGGAAATTTCTACTTTTAAATACAGAAAATAACCATATTAAAAAGTTTTATTTATTCTTTGTTTCTCAAACTATACTCATCATGTATAAGAATTGTGTTTTAGCTTTATCATTACAAAAAAAGGAAGCACTCTGTTAAACACATTTAGAGTAACCTAATAATAAAAATACATACTATTAAAATATCATATAGTTAAACTCAATTATAATTACATACCATATAACAATGTTTTCATCAATGATGCACCACATATGCAATGATAGTCCCATAAGATTATACTACTGTATTTTTACTGTACCTTTTATAGGACTGGATATGTTTGGATACACAAATACTCTATGATATTCACACAGTGACAAAACTGCCAGATTGTTCATGCCTCAGAATGTATCTTCATCATTAAGTGACACCTATATATGAATAACCAGTTCAAATTTACTAGCAAGACATTTGATAATATCATGCAATATAAATTAATGAATTAAAAGTGAATTGAAATAAGAGCTAAAGCTTGCATATGTTGAGAGAAAAGTGAATCAGAATGTCCTTAGCAGGTTCTACCTTCTTATTTGTTTTAGGAAGTGCCAGATTAAGAATGAGAAAATATCATCAAAACTGATCTATTAGACATATATAGTAAATATATGCTTTAAAAATTTAGTGTTTTGAAACCAAAACATTTAAAAAAAGAATTCAACACCTAATACCCTCTTTCAAATGCTCAAATGCTTTCATTTATTCTACAGAAATTTTTTTAAACTTCCTGATCTTAGTCCAGACCCTTACTCTCTCTGATATTTGCAAAAGCTTTGTAGTCAGTTTCATTGTTCAGATCTATTTTTCTTCTTAGACCCTCCTACCTAAGGCCAGACTAATCTGCCAAAATGCAATTAGCAATCATGTCACTAACCTCTTAATAATTTAATACCCAATTACCTACTGAGTCAAGTCTAAATGTTTCTTGATGCTATGCTTTGAATGTTTCCTTCAAACGTCAAGTGTTGGAAACTTAAATCCCCAAACCGATATGTTGTTTGGAGGTGACGCCTTTGTAAGATAATTAAAATGAGATAATGCTAGCATGAAGAGGCCCCAATGATGGGACTGGTGGCTTTATAAAAAGAGAAAGAGAGACCTAGGCTGATGGGCATGCTCTTCCTCATTGGCATGTAATGCTTTCCACCAAGTCATGACTCAGCAAGAAGGTCCTCACAACATGCCAGCCCCTTAATCTTAAACTTTCCAGCTCTCAGAACCATAAGGAATAAATTTGCTTTTTTTGGTATATTACCCAGCCTCATATTCTGTTATAACAGAAAATGAACTAAGACATTTAACTTTCAAAATATTCTACAAACTACTCTGATTTTATTTATCTAAAACTTATATCTTTTTAAGCCAACTCCATCTCTATACATATTACACATCGTGTACTCCCAAGTTCTGTCTTCTGTCACCTGGGATAACTTCCATTTTTTATTCCTATACATATTCTTATTTTCCTTCCAGATCAGCCTTCTATCATTCTGCTTTTGGATTTTTTAACTTCAATTTTACATATTACCTGCATCATATTATTAAGAATTTATTTTTTTTTATTTTTAAAAGTATGTTTTTTCCTTTCAAGGAATTAACAAACCACTTGATTACAGTTGTATCTCTCCTACAAAAATCCCCTCATCCTACAGAGCCCTTCATGTATAAAAATTGAGGAACTGTTGTTTCTTAGCAAATATTTATTCTTTCTTCAGAAGCTAAGAAGAATGCAAAGACACATAATACAGGAAGTTTCCTTAATTGAATAACAACTTAAATGGAAGAAAGAATAAGTATATAACAAGATAGATGAACACACTTGTGGTAATTCTTAGACCAAATTCTTTTTTTTTTTTTTTTTTTTTTTTTTTTTTTTTTTTGAGACGGAGTCTTGCTCTGTCGCTCAGGCTGGAGTGCAGTGGCGCCATCTCAGCTCACTGCAAGCTCCGCTTCCCGGGTTCACGCCATTCTCCTGCCTCAGCCTCCCAAGTAGCTGGGACTACAGACGCCCGCCACTACGCCCGGCTAATTTTTTGTATTTTTAGTAGAGACGGGGCTTCACCGTGTTAGCCACTATGGTCTCGATCTTCTGACCTTGTGATCCGCCTGCCTCGGCCTCCCAAAGTGCTGGGATTACAGGCTTGAGCTACCGCGCCCGGCCTAGACCAAATTCTTAAATAAGAGCAATTCCAGATAGTAACAAAGACAAACATACAAGTTGGAAAAAGAGAAATAAGAAGATAAATTTATGTTTCTCTGTCTTTTGATAATAACTGAGTATATAAAAATAAAGGACCCAGTTTCCTGTTAAAAAAAAAAAAACATAGTTCCACTTTATTTGAAATGAAAGTTACATAAAACACAGCACCTGGACAGCCCACTGATAGTAAGAATGTTTAAAGAAGGTGTGTTTTTTAAAAATACTGCCATAACAAAATACCTGAGAGTTGGTATTTTGGGAAATTTTTTCTCACCGTTCTCCAAAATCAAGATGCTGGCTGGTGAGGCTGGGTGATGAGTTGCTTTCTTAGCTTCCACAGTAGTGCCTTATTGCTGCGTCTTCCAGAGAGAAGCAACGTTGTGCCCTCACATGGAAGATGGTGGAAGGGTAAGAAACTCAAACACTGTGTAAAGTCTCTTTTATAAGGGCCTTAATCCCATTCATGTGAAAGAAGTTATCAGGGTCTAATCCCTCTTAAAGGGCCCACTTATTAATATCATTACATTAGCAACAACTACATTTTAGATAGGATATGTTCAAACCATCACAGAAGATAATTCTAATAATTGTTTATATTACAGTAAATTAGTAAAATTAAATAACATAAATTATTAAAATTAAATTATATTATTGGCTCTATGAACTACCCACATTGGTTAAAAGAAATGGAGTATTTAACATGAAAAAAAAAACGAAGTGGTAATCACTTGAAAAATTCTTTATGACAATTAGAAATATTGAATGTTAGTCAAAAAATACAAAGGTCAAATTATAATAAAAGGCCAATTGTTTTCTTTATAAAAATGAGTTTGTAACTATTGTAAATGTTTAAAAATAGTATAGTCTGCTACAGAATATGATCAGCTTACTGACTGAAAAAATTCAAGCAGTGACACTTTTACTTATTACAAATTTAAATCCCATACAATCTGTAGATTGTGTCCTCCATGAATAGTGCACATAGTAAGTAGTCAAAGAGAAAATTCTAACTCTGCATTGGTGAAAACAGAACCTTTTTATTAAGGATATCAGAATTGAGCTAGGCCTTTTTTGCAAGAAATATTTAAAAGACTTAGTGTGAATAGAACCTTTCTCATATGATGCATTTGTTGAAACTCCTGACAACCCTCAGGAACAGAAGAAAGCAAAGAGGGGGACAGAGAGAGAGAGAGAGAGAGAAGAGAGAGAGAGAGAAGAGAGAGATATATATAGCAACTTTCTTGAGAGTATATAATTAAATATGATAATGTTTTTATTTGGATACTGGTCTGCCAACATTTGAGGCCAAATCTTTCACCTTTACTCTTCACTGTTTACTAGGTTGCATGTATAAATTGTTAATAGGTAAAAAGGAGGTGAGAAAAACAAAGGTAATGAAGAGCTTAGTACAAAAGCAGAGTCCTCTCATTGGAAGAAATTGAGAAAAATAACTGGAAACTATGTTGAAGCCAGATTGCCAGCATAGAGCAAAATGTCCTAGCACTGCAAATGTCAAAGTTGTTCATTATGCTTAGGAGTTAAGCTGATGTATTTTGCACAGTGTGAAATGTCTGGAGGATTTTCAAAAAAAGTGTTAGGTGCATTAGTTATCCAACTGGGAATTAACAAAGACCAACGTACCATAGGGAAAACTATGTCTTAGATAAAGCAAAACTGCATACCAGTGAGCTTTAAATAAAAAAGGTACAATGTGTCCTGCCAACATTTCAAGAATAGGAACAATACAAAACCAGTGTGAACCAAAAGTAAAAGCAAAATGGGAATTTTTACTTCTTGAATACTAACCTGTGTCCTTGTCCACTGTCCTTGTGCCACTTTTCCTTTTGTCAGAATTAATATTCAACTAGTTCCTTTTTCAAGAAGTAGTTTATCCCATTGGTTAATTTCTGCATTCTGCATCAAAAGACTTTGTAATTAAGACTTGCTAATTATGTGACTTTGGACAAGTTGAGGAACCTCTCTTAACCCTATTCTTATGTTCAGTTCTTATTTTCTAGATAAGGAAATTCATGTAAATTAATGATTACAGATATCACATAGGTAAAATGCTTAACAAACATTTACCATAATAATGATGATTATTATTTCCTTCTGTTTTTCAGTTTTCATAAGCTCAGCCAAATGAAGAATGTTAACTAATCTATAAATAAGTTTTGATATCAAGAAAAATATATTGACTAAAAATAAATTCTAAGGTAAGAATTCCTACCTCAGGAATGAAACGTAACTAATCAAAATATTCACTTTCTCATCTTTATCTCCATTTCAAGTTTTTTTTTTTTTTTTGAGATTGAGTCTTGCTCTTGTCCTCCAGGCTGGAGTGCAATGGCACAATCTCAGCTCACTGCAACCTCCACTTCCCAGCTTCAAGCGATTCTCCTGCCTCAGCCTCCCAAGTAGCTGAAACTACAGGCACCCACCACCATGCTCGGCTAATTTTTGTATTTTTAGTAGAGATGGGGTTTCATCATGTTGGCCAGGCTTGTCTCAAACTCCTGACCTCAGGTGATCCACCTGCCTCAGCCTCCCAAAGTGCTAGGGTTACAGGCGTGAGCCACCGTGCCCGGCCCAGTCGTACTTTTGAAAAATCAATGAATTTTTCTGATAGTGTCTTCCTAAAATCTTAGCATAGATAATTTTATCATTTAGCCTCTATGTTAAGTAGTCATAAAATAGAAGAGAATATCCTCTGTGGTGCAATTTAATATGATTCTAAAATTTAGCATGTTGAAAAGATTTATATACAAGGTCTTAAAAAGTTACTGGGAGGAAAGCGCCAGAATTCAGATCTTCAGATTTCCAGCCCTGTATCTTTCCACTTGGCTGAAACTTTATGATTTTGCCATGGCCAATATGGAAACAAGACCAATGAGGATACAAAAAATCTCTGGGATGTTCGCACAATTGGAGTAGTTCCAGAACTAATATCTTCAAAAGTTTTTTCAAAAAAAGACTGGAGACTATATGTAATAAGTATTATTGGGTTGGTGCAAAAGTTATTGCAGTTTTTGCTTTTTTTCAAATATATAGAATTCTAATTTATCAGAATTACTTTAAAATCATCTAACTCAGGATTATCAGTTCAAGGTAGAGAGGCAGCATTGCATTAAATGTAATTGCCAGGGCTCTGAAGGCAGACTGTTTGTGTTTAAGTACTGAGCGGACCTTTTAGAAATTCTGTCACTTTAAGCAAGTTACTTAATCTGTCTAAATCTTAGTGGCTATGTTCAAAAAACATGGCTACCTATCTTGTAGAATTGTTTTCAAGATTTATTTAAATGGTAAAAATAAAGATCCTGACACTGAGTAAGTGCCTAATGAATATTATCTTTCACTGTTAACTATTACCATATTTATTATTGAACTCACTTCTTCAAAATGATAACTAAATTATTGCCTCAAGACATTTATTAGTCTTTGCAACAAAGTTTTATAAATAAAACTTGTTTTCAAAACAATTTAATCTAACACCAGAGTTTATGTTTCTTTTATTATCTATTTCCTTCAGTTAGAATACAGTTTTTAAAAAGAGAATTAAAACTGACATAAATTTTACAAAATACATTCCAAAGTTACCTATGATATCTGTAGAGTCATCAATATATGTAAAAAATGCCACTGTTTTCCTAATCAAATTTTTTGCTTAGATACCATATTTCTTCAGTGAGTACTTGAAATAAAAATTTAGCTCAATAATAGAAAAAGGTTCTAAAGTATAATAGGTACGACCCTCAAAAAAAAGAACTCCTATCAAGAATGATGTCTTTTACGTAAAATGTGGGGTCAACGTAGATTTCTCAATGGAATCTAAGTACACTAATAAGATATGACAGTAATGAGAACCTTCAATAGTTAGTAGAAATTTTACTTATTAAATAAAAAAAAAAAACAGGCCAGGCGCAGTGGCTCATGCCTGTAATCCCAGCACTTTGGGAGGCCGAGGCGGGTGGATCACGATGTCAGGAGATCGAGACCATCCTGGCTAACACAGTGAAACCCCGTCTCTTCTAAAAATATAAAAAAATTAGCCGGGTGTGGTGGTGAGCACCTGTAGTTCCAGCTACTTGGGAGGCTGAGGCAGGAGAATGGCGTGAACCCGGGAGCCAGGGCTTGCAGTGAGCTGAGATCACACCACTGCACTCCAGCCTGGGCGACAGAGCGAGACTCCGTCTCAAAACAAACAAACAAACAAACAAAAAACAGACCAGAGAGAAGCATATCTCTTAACTCTTAGAACAAAACTTTGTTTAAACTATATAGAAAAAGCAATAATTATGCAAATGATCTTATGGCTTCACCTTAAAGAAGAAATCACCAAAGCTCAGCTTATTTCATAAAGAGATTCAGTTAGACACCAATAATTTTTTAGAAGATGTGTCATCAGGGGCCCTGAAAGAGAGTGCTTAGACTAGGAGAAGCTCAGAGGAATTATAGATGATTTAGCAAGCTATTAATATTTACTTAGGTCATTCCTAAGTGACAGAAATATAAGAATTCTTTCTTTAATCTCATTAATATAAGAACTTCTTAAGTGTGAGCAAACTTGGAAGAGTCGGGAATCTTTAGTTGTTGATGTAAAATAACATTGAGGAAACAAGATTGGAAAAAGGTAAAGCAGAAAGTTACCTATGGCTGCATCATATAAAAATTGCACTTAAATCATGCATGTAATTCAGTAAGCTTGCATTTTAAATGGAATCAGAAAATGTGATATCCTTATTCTTGACGATGTGTTGAATAGAGAGAGGTAACTTCTTTTTGTATTTTTTTAGAAATCTGATACTTATATTATTTTATCTTTTTAAACTTCACTTTTAACAGTCGGGCTTTAAAAACCACTGGCATATATAACAAAAAAGAAATAGCAACAACAAAAAAGAAGCATGGGAGTCAGAGACTGTTTTCACATATTAAATAAACTTGGTCCTCAAGATTCAAGTATAGATCTTTTTGAATCAAGTCTCAGGTTATTTCAACCTTATCATTCTGCTTTACTCAAGAGCCCTTGAAGTTTAAAGGTAAAATCAGATTATTATTGACCTAAAAAGCTCTGAAATATAAATATGGCATACTAATATTTTTTTAAAAGTGTTAAAATTGCAGAAACAATTGTCCCATATTTCAATCTTGGTGGCACATAGTAAAGTAGAAGTACCTACATTCTGAGTGACAAAACAAATAAACATCAACAACAACCAAACCCAGAAACGTAATGGGGATATTGTATAAACCAGAGCTAAAGATGCACTGAGTGGGCTCTTCGTATATCCTTGGCTGATTTTGGGAACTCTGCATGAACAGACCTAAGATGGCACAGTGGAAAGGAAAAGCAGAGATAGACTTGAAAATTAGCTGATCACAAGAACACACTCTCCAACTCACATACAGATCTATTGGCATAAAGTGGAAGCTTTACAATCTCAAGATATTCAAGCAAAAACACTGCGCAGACGTTGGCAGACCACTAATCTATTAGACACTGGGACACTTCTAAATAACCAGCCTAAAATGATAATTAAGAAAGAAAGATCAGGAATATTAAATACTGCTCACCATGTAAGGAAAGATTAAAGGAAGGTAAGTTACTATAAAAATACAAAAACTCTTAAAATAGAAAAAAGAATCTGGAATTGTTATACTGTATTATCTAACTTGTTTAGTTTTTAACAAAAAATATATGAGATACACAAAGATACTGGAAAGTGTGACCCATACTCAAGAAAAAGCAGTCAACAGAAACTGCCACTGTGTAGGTTCGTATGTTGGATTTAGAAGACAAAGAAAGCACTCCTAAAAATATAGTCATGCATCACTTAATTACAACGATAGGTTCTGAGAAATGCATCTTTAGGAGATTTCATTGTTTGTCGAAGCACCATAAAGTGTCTTTACTCAAACCTAAAAAGTATAACCTGCTACACGTCTAGTCTACCTAGGTTATGTGGTATGACCTGTCACCCCTAGGTTACATATCTGTACTGTAACCTATCATCCCTTAGATACAAACCTGTAGGTAATTATGCTGACTATTTGCATAGCTAAACATTTAAAAAAGTAGAGTAAAAAGACAATACAAAAGGTAAACGTGGTACATCTGTATAGGGCCCTTACCATGAATGGAGCTTACAGGATTTAAAATTGTTATGGGTGTGTCTGCAAGTGAGTGGTAAGTACAGGTGAAGACCTAGAACATGACTGTACACTAATGTAGGCTATATAAATATTGTACACTTATTTTACAGTAAGTATTTTTTCTTTCTTCAATAATAAATTGGCCTTAACTTACTGCAATATTTTTACTTTATATGCCTTTTAATTTTTTTAACTTTCTGAATCTTTTGTAGTAATACTTTGCTTAAAACACTAACACATCATGTAGTTGTACAAAAATATTTTTTTCTTTACATTCTTATTCTAAAAGCTTCTTTTTATTGTTTTTTTTTTTAACTTTTAAAAAGGACACAACACTCAAATTAGCCTAGGCCTACACAGTCTCAGAATCATCAATATCATTGTCTTCCATCTCCACATCTTGTCCCACTGGAAGGTTTTCAGGGGAAATAACACTACTGGAGCTGTAATCTCCTATGGTAACAATGCCTTCTTCTGGATGACTTCCTGAAGAACCTGCCTGAAGCTGGTTTTTAATTTTTAAAAAATAGTGTAAAAATACACACTGCAATAATAATAAGAAGTAAATACATAAACCAATAACATAGTTGTTAAAATTATTATTAAGTATTATACATTGTACTTAATTTTTATGTGCTATACTTTTATAAACTGGCAGTGCAATAGGTTTGTTTACATCAACATCTCCATAAACATATAAGTAATGCATTGTTCTTTGACATTATGAGGGCTACAAAATCACTAGGCATCAGGAATTTTTCAGGTCCATTTAATGTTATGGGACTACTATCACATATAAAGTTCATCATTGAACAAAACATTGTTATGTGGTGCATTGTTGTATATTAAAAGGATAAAAGAAAACTGTTTAAAGAGTTAAAGGAAAATATGTTTGCAATTATTTTTCCAACAGGGTTTTCAATAGAAAAACGAACTATATTTTAAAACTTCTAGAATTTAAGTATGCAAAAAACAAAAATTAAAAACCACTAAATGGGTTCAACAGCAGATCTGAAATAATAGAGGAGTCAGTTAATTTGAAAATAGACTTATAAAAATTATCCAATTTAAAAATAGGTCTCAAAAAAGATAAATTAAAAATAAACAGAGTCAATCATGATTATCTCAATAGATGCAGAAAAGGCCTTTGATAAAATTCAACACTGCTTCATGCTAAAGCCCTCTATAAACTGGGTACTGATGGATAGCATCTCAAAATAATAAGAGCTATATATGACAAACCCACAGTCAATATCATACTGAATGGGCAAGAGCTGGAAGCATTCTCTCTGAAAACCAGCACGAGGATGCCCTCTCTTACCACTCCTATTAAACACAGTATTGGAAGTTCTGGCCAGGGCAATCAGGCAAGAGAAAGAAATAAAGGATATTCAAATAGCAAGAGAGGAAGTCAAATTGTTTCTGTTTGCATATGACATGATTGTATATTTACAAAACTCCATCATCTCAGCGCAAAATCTCCTTAACCTGTTAACTTCAGCAACGTCTGAGGATACAAAATCAATGTGCAAAAATCACAAGCATTCCTATACACCAATAACAGACACGGAGCCAAATAATGAGTGAACCCCCATTCACAATTGCTACAAAGAGAATAAAATACCTAGGAGTACAACTTACAAGGGATGTGAAGGACCTCTTCAAGAAGAGCTACAAACCACTGCTCAAGGAAATAAGAGAGGACACAAACAAATGGAAAAACATTCCATGTTCATGGATAGGAAGAATCAATATTGTGAAAATGGCCATATTGCCCAAAGTAATTTATAGATTTGATGCTATACCCATCAAGCTATCATTGACTTTATTCACAGAATTAGAAAAAAAACTACTTTAAATTTTATATGGAACCAAAAAAGAGCCCATATAGCCAAGAAAATCCTAAGCAAAATGAACAAAGCTGGAGGCATCATGCAACCTGTCTTCAAACTATACTACAAGGCTACAGTAACCAAAACAGCATGCTACTGGTACCAAAACAGATGTACAGACTAATGAAACAGAACAGAGGGCTCAGAAATAATGCCACAAGTTACAACCATCTTTGACAAACGTAACAAAAACAAGCAATGGGGAAAGGATTTCCTATTTAATACCTGGTGTTGGGAAAACTGGCTAGCCATATGCAGAAAACTGAAGCTAGACCCCTTCCTTACACCTTATACAAAAATTAACTAAAGATGAATTAAAGACGTAAATGTAAGACCTAAAACCATAAAAATCCTAGAAGAGCCAGGCATGGTGGCTCATACCTCTAATACTAGCACTTTGGGAGGCTGAGGTGGGTGGATAGCCTCAGCTTGGGAATTCAAGACCAGCCTAGGCAACATGGCAAAACCCCATCTCTACTAAAAATACAAAGAATTAACTGGGTGTGGTGGCAGGTGCTTGTAGTCTCAGCTACTCAGGAGGCTGAGGCATGAGAATCACTAGAACCTGAGAGGTGGAGGTTGCAGTGAGGCAGTATCATGCCACTGCACTCCAGCCTGGGTAACAGAGTGAGACTCCATCTCAAACAAGCAAACAAAAAAACTAGAAGAAAACCTAGGCAATACCATTCAGGACATAGGCATTGGGAAAGACTTAATGACTAAAACACCAAAAGTAATGGCAACAAATGCCAAAATTGACAAACGAGATCTAATTAAGCTACAGAGCTTCTGCACAACAAAAGAAACTATCATCAGAATGAACAGGCAACCTACAGAATGGGAGAAAATTTTTGCAATCTATCCGTCTGACAAAGGGCTAGTATCCAGAATCTACAAGGAACTTAAACAAATTTACAAGAAAAAAACAACCCCGTCAAAAAGTGGTCAAAGGATATGAACAGGCACTTCTCAAAAGAAGACATTTATGCAGCCAACAAACATATGGAAAAAACCTCATCATCACTGGTCATTAGAGAAATGCAAATCAAAACCACAATAAGTAACCATCTCACACCAGTTAGAGTGGTGATCATTAAAAAGTCAGGAAACGGTTGGGTGCAGTGGCTCATGACTGTAATGCCAGCAGTTTGGGAGGCTGAGGCAGGTGGATCATGAGGTCAAGAATTCGAGACTAGCCTGATCCACATGGTGAAACCCTGTCTCTACTAAAAATACAAAACTTTGCTGAGGATTGTGGCATGGGCCTGTAATCCCAACTACTCAGGAGTCTGAGGCAGGAGAATCTCTTGAACCTGGGAGGCAGAGGTTGCAGTGAGCCGAGATTGTGCTACTGCACTCCAGCCTGGGCGATGAGACTCCATCTCAAAAAGAAAATCAAGGAAACAACAGATACTGTAGAGAATTTGTAGAAATAGGAACCCTTTTACCCTGTTTGTGGGGGTGTAAATTAGTTCAGCCATTGTGGAAGACAGTGTGGCAATCCCTCAAGGATCTAGAAGCAGAAATACCATTTGATCCAGCAATCCCATTACTGGGTATATACCCAAATGATTATAAATCATTCTAATATAAAGACACATGCACACATATGTTTATTGCAACACTATTTCACAATAGCAAGGACTTGGAACCAACTGAAATGCCTGTCAATGATAGACTGGATAAAGAAAATGTGGCACATATACATCATGGAATACTATGCAGCCATAAAAAGGGATGAGTTAATGTCCTTTGCAGGGACATGGATGAAGCTGGCTACCATCATTCTCAGCAAACTAACAAAGGAACAGAAAACCAAACACCACATATTCTCACTCATAAGTGGGAGTTGAACAATGAGAACACATGGACACAGGGAGGGGAACATCACACACCAGGGCCTGTCAGGGGGTGGGGGACTAAGGGAGGCATAGCATTAGGAGAAATACCTAATGTAGATGATGGGTTGATAGGTGCAGCAAACCACCATGGCACATGTATACCTATGTAACAAATCTGCAAGTTCTGTACATGTATCCCAGAACTAGAAGTATAAAAAAAAATGAACAGAGCCTCAGAAATATGTGAGGCAACATCAAGTCCTCCAAAAAATGTGTAATGGAACTTCCACAGAGAGAAGAAGGAAAGAAAAAATACAAAGAAAATTGAAGAATTAATGGCTAAAAGTTTTCCAAATTTGGTTTCATTTAATCTCAAGTGGGACAAACAAAAAAGATCCATACCTAGACTATCATAGCAGACTGTTAAAATATACAGAAAATTATGAAACCATTAAGAGAGATAACATTATTTAGTGACAATAATATGAACTTTCACCATCTTCATAAAAAACAATGAAATGACAAAACGCTAAAAAAAGAAAAAATCAACAAATGATTATATTTCTGGTAAAATTATTCTTCAAAATAAAGGCAACATATATTCACAGAGAAATATAAAGAGAGCATTAATTGATAGCAATTGCGACCCACAAGACAAAACTCTAAAAAGAGATTTTGCATACTCAAGCAAAGCTGTTTCTGTTAATACCTGCCTTACTACAAATTGTACCAAAAAATTAGATAGCTTTGCTGTTCAATTGTTCATAGTTATCATTCATTGTCAACATAATTAATAAGCACAAAATGCTCACCTACAATTTGATAAAGAGTGTATGTCAAAAAGGTAAATCATCTACACCATTCAACTAACTTAATAATATTATTTTCTTGATAGCAAGACTTTCTCAACAAAGAAAGCAGTGAATTCTTTTTTTAAAAAAATTCTAGTATATTACCAAATAGTCTGTGTTCTGCCATGTCATCTAATCACCCCACATTGAGTAGGACTGCATATAATTCCATTTAAGAGCACCACATGTTCTCACTAAGTGGGAGTTGAACAATGAGAACATATGGACACAGGGAGGGGAACATCACACATCAGGGCCTGTTGGGGGGTGGGGCGCAAGGGGAGGGAGAGAATTAGGACAAATACCTAATGCATGCAGGGCTTAAAACCTGGATGATGGGTTGATGGGTGCAGCAAACCACCATAGCACGTGTATACCTATGTAACAAACCTGCATGTTCTGCAAATGTATCCCAGAACTTTAAGTAAAATAAAATTTAAAAAAAGAAACAGATGCTGTATTTTAATAAATATTAAAATTCCTTACTATAAAATCAATATAAACACTATTCTGACAATTATAATCTTATAAAGTCGAACGAATCTGAGTTTTACTTTTTCAGATATTTTCAAGTTTTTATTTTAGACTTGTTTCTGAATTACACAAGATAATAATTAGACATTGCTTAGTTCAGTTTTTCTTCAGAAAAGTTGATTTACTTTCTTTTTTTTTTTTTTTTTTTTTTTGAGACAGAGTCTTGCTCTGACACCCAGGCTCTGCAGTGCAGTGGCACAATCTCGGCTCACTGCAACCTCCGTCTTCCGGGTTCAAGCAATTCTCCTGCCTCAGCCTCCTGAGTACCTGGGACTACAGGTGCATGCCACCATGCCCTGATAATTTTTTGTATTTTTAGTAGAGACAGGGTTTCACCATGTTAGCCAGGATGAAACTTTCTATGTTTTCATGTCCCACCTAGTTATTTTCTACATTTTTGGTAGGTAAAAATATTTCACACATTTTACCAACAAAGGCACAAAAGTAAAGTCATATTCTCAAAACAATCTAGAATAAACCTCTGTAATATCTTCCTGTAATTCGATGACACTGTTTTTATTGCATTCAGCTATATAGTTATAGCCCTGAACTTATTCTGGTATTTCAAAGAGGAGTGATGTGTAACAGACACAAGAGGCTAGCATCAGACTTCATATTCAGTAGCAGAATTTTATAGTAGATTATATATGAATACAATTACTGAAAAACAAGTACAAAAAGCTGTATACCTTCAAGAATTCTATAACTGAGCAGGTGTAACTACAAACATATAGTAAATGTGTGACAAAATTAGTGGTTGAATGGCATATTAAAATGTAAGTTTTGTGAAACAAACATACAAAGAAATTTGATTTGTTTGTTAGAGAAGCTTCCAGAAAAAGGAGATAAATGAAGAATAATAAATTGGATAGAAACAGAAATCAGTATGAAATGGTGGGTGAATTGTGAGAATAGAAATCTGCCTGACAGCAATGAGTAAGGGCATGTTTATTGGAGTAAACAGAAAAATTTTTCTTACATTTTACTAAATAAAATTGTCATACAAATATCTCATTAGTCTACTCAAATCTCACCAAGCTTCAACACTTGGTATTATTTCTTCATTGCTAATTTCCACTTAAAAAAGATATATGCCATTATCTAATAGAAGCATGTGAAAATTGCCCTTTTAACCCCTTAGTCAAAATGGACCAATGAGATTGATTCTATTTCCTAGGAGTTCTGAATTTAGATAAAGAGAAATTTCATTAATTAGATCAGAAAGTTTGCAGTTAATGTGGAATCGATGGTTATGGCTAATATTTTGCAGGGAGGATGAGCAACCAAATTAAATTCTATGCAAGTAGTACCAAGAGAGTTGGACTGTAGAATGGGAAAAACAAATGAGACAGACATACAGAGGACAGGACAGAAGTGAACAGATATTAAATATCTTGAAGACATAGTAAGAACACACTGAGAGCTCTCCATTCTTTAGGACCTGCTTGTATATTCTGTTCAAATTGATCTCTCTCTTCTCTGAACCAAAATATAACTTATTCAAACTATTTTGTGATACTAGGCTATCTATGGCCTTAATATTTTTATAAATTTTATTTGAAAGTAGAACTTTTGTGGTTATTTATATAACATCTTTAAAAACGTTTTTGGTGCTTTAAACTTTGGAATAATCTGTAGCATTTTATAAAAAAATTCAATTATTTTACATTTTAGAAATGCAAAGTTATCACTCAGTTTTGTTTCTCTTCTATGAAAGTTTCACAGAGACCATAGACCCAGTTTATTGTAATTATGAATGATGAATTGAAGATTAACAGTTGCACTGATCTAAAATATAGTAAAATAATAACCAAGAGTCTCATTATTTTCATTTGCAAGATACAATGAATAACATAAAGCTATGAACAGATATGCTATAATAGTTAATATTCAGAGTTCAGATTGTCTTTAAGACATAAAAGCAGCTAGGAATGGATGAGATGTTTCAAAGATTCAATTATAAAATAAGTTCACACTCTGTCTATAAAATATTATAAATTCCACCTCATGAACAACTCACTGTTTTGAGAATCAGTTATCCAAAGACAAATTCCTGTTCTAGGCAGAATAGCATAAGAGAAGAAGTACTTAGCACAGAATTCCTTTAGTCTATTATCACAGTTATTGAGAACAGGTGTGCTTATAATCATAAGAAACTGGAAAAATTAATCTTTCATGGCAAACTCCCATTTTCACTCCTGAGGAATATAGTGTTAGAATACAAAGCAGGAATTTTGGCAGAAAGAGGTCTTGTTAACGCATCTCATGTACCTCCTTTGGACATTATCTCCCTATGATACTCCAGCTCCTTTATTTTGTTATCGTTTTCAGGCATATTTTAAAGACAACAAAATAGTCATTTTACAGGGCTACAAGGTCTGTTGTGTGGCAGCAAATTACATTATAAAATAGCCATAGGTGTGTACCCCATGAAGTTGTAAAATGTGATTTGCAGAGATTTGATGGCAGATCTGTCTCTGTAAGGTTCCATCCCAGGGTGTGCCCTCCATCTGTTCCACAGGTCTTCATCTGGTTGCATCTAAAGGAAGTAAAATATCTTCATCTTCAGGTCTAATGCAGTAATATAAAAATGAATTAATTTGATAAAGTAAGAGGGAATTTAACACACTTACTTTGATTAAAATATCAATAAAGTCTGTTACTTATGAAATTAATTTAAAAATGCTTCCTACTTATTCTACAGTAATGTGAACCTGAATACCATTCCAAATACAAATCAGCCTCATTGGTTAAAGCCAATATTAGTAACATTTCCTCTACATGATGAATTAGCGTAGTTTTTGTTTTAACTCTTTATCTTGCCTTTTCAATGGAAACATGAAAACAAAATTAAAATTTTCTTTCAAGTATTTAAGGAGGTTATTTACTTGACATTTTCCTGCCTTGATCTTTCTATTGTGAAATTCCTCCATTTTTAGGTAGACTAAACTTTAAGGCTGATTATAGAAATAAGTAAACAATATGTAAGAGAAACATAAACCAAAACAAAAATCATATATGCAATCAATAAATATAAAAGAGCTAGTTATTACTCAAAGACAGTTTTTTTTTTGGCTTTAGCTTCTGAGGTCATTTGGACCTCTTTTATAGGGTAAACATGGAAGCAATTACAAGATTCACATGAACACGTGATGTCCTCCTTGTTTACGTCCTATTTTAAATTACATTTATCGTTTTATATTTCTTCTTCCCCAACTTACCCATAAGTAATTTATTACACTAGGCTAAATTTTGTATTTTTAAAAGCATATAAATTAATGTTTTCATACCCTGATGCCCACTCATTTATATGTATTATCTCTATAGATGGTACGTGGTTAAACTTATCTGGAGTTGCAGAGAGAGTAATGATATTAAAGGGCATGCCAGTACTTTGAACCTGGACTGAATACTGACTCCAGAATCTTAACAGTCAGAGGCTTGTTAAACACAAGAAAATAAAGATAGCTAGCATTTTTAAAATATACCATTTTTCCCTAAAGAAATTTTAAAAGCCTTTAATTTCTCCTGCTTCAAAAATTAAAAACACATTACTTCATAAATGCCATTACTTCATAAGTTTTAAAATTCAATCTTAAAAAGAGTAAATGAAGCAGATAATAGAACTAGAAAGAAAGGAAAGCTAAAGAAATGTCAAGAAAGAATAGAGTTGGGACAAGACATATGGTTGTATTAGTCAGGGTCAAGTCAAGAGACAGAAAGTATACTGATAATTTGAACAAGGCAAAGTAAATAGTAAGAATTGTTACCTAGTACATATGATTAGTGACTCAGAAAAGGAAGTCTTTAAGGGGTGCAACAGTAGCAAAGATATAAAGTTGATTCGACCTCTAAGGCTAAGAGAAAGCAAACAGGGAAGTGACTTAGAAATTTATGGTAGGAGACAGCCCCCAAAACTGTGATTCAATCCTCTTTCCAAAGAGTGGAGCTATCCCTGGAACACTTTCAATGCCATGGCGAGTAAATTTGCTGGAGGGTGTAGGTCAGCCCTCTAAGTGGTGAAGAAACTTGCTCAAGAGTTTGAACTGCAACTAGCCCATAGCAGTAGCCTACCAGGCTTTAGAGAAACCCACCAGAGTATTTCAGCTTCACTGAGGTTTATGGGCTGGCTCATGAGGGCCTCTGAGGTTAACACTACCTAGCCATCCACTGCTCGTGATGCTGAAACAGCAGAATCCCTTCCTCCTGCCCTCGTTTTGGGATATCTTTCTAGTTCCCTTTTTTGACAAAGCTTAACATTGACATCAGTTGGCTAAGTAATGTCCAGGTCCACTATAACAATGCAGGAAAGAAAAGATGGGTCTGCAGTTGAAAGTCAATAAACTGATAACTGTCATATTCTATGTAGATGGTTATTCATATTCCATACACACCCTTATTCAAACGTTTTAACTTCTATAATACAACAAAAACAACTCTGTTTCCACCTAACAGGATGTCATTATTTTATGTACTAGGGATGAAGTTCTTACCCTCCACCACCATGAGGGGACACTAGGTCTCAACTGTCATTTTACCTATCACTAGCTACACTGGTTAATTCTCAAATCCAGTAACCATTCAACTGAATATTTCTTATCTAAGGCAAAAAATTGTAAGTTAAATCTTCAATAATGTGTATATAAAATAATAAGTAGAAAGAGATGAAAATACTTAATAACTGTATATAAGTAAATATATAAACATAACAAGCAAAGAAAATGCATATAAAACTACCAGTGTCTTCACTTCTGTAATTGGTCACGAGACTGTGTTTGATATCTGCAAACTCTTACCTATTCAATGATTTTTTTTTGTTTTCCTTTATTTTAATTTTATTATTATTATACTTTAAGTTTTAGGGTACATGTGCACAATGTGCAGGTTTGTTACATATGTATACATGTGCCATGTTGGTGTGCTGCACCCATTAAGTAGTCATTTAGCATTAGGTATATCTCCCAATGCTATCCCTCCCCCCTCCCCCCACCCCACAACAGTCCCTGGAGTGTGATGTTCCCCTTCCTGTGTCTATGTTTTTTTTTGTTTTCAGCCAGAACATTAGCAAGTTGGAATTCTTTACCAGGTAAAATAACTCACACCCTTTATTTCTCAAGTATTTGAGTCCTCATTAGTTCTGCTTTCTTAGTTTGCTCTAATTTTTCCATTACTTTTACTATTTGCATAAAAGTGCTATGAACCTCTTCCTTTTAAAAGCATTGAATACTCTGTGCTCCTGTTGTGTGAAATCAAAACAGTTTCCTCTTGGTAATCAGTATCAATCACTTCAACCGTTAGAGTAACTTCTTTTTCTGTGGTTAGTTCAGTGGATATGTAGCCCAAGGTTATCAGGGGTAAGCTTATTTTCCAATTTGGCAGTACCAAAGTTACCTTCTCTTTCCCTGATAACTAAGTCCACCTTAGAAGTAGAGCTCAAAATTGCCAAGAAAAAAAAATTCTATTACTGGTTTATTAGGAATAACAGCAAGGGAAGTCACTTCTATGATTACCCCTTGGTTTCCTAATTTTTGTTTTTTTAACTATGAAGGTGAAAATATCATATAATGGTCTCTAATTCAAACCATAAGCTACATCCTGTAAGGGAAAATCTCATCATTTCAATGTATTGTGTCTCAACAAATGCTATACTTTAGTCATCAGCAAGCCATTTCATTCAGTCAGCCACTTCTTAGTGATGAGGTGTGTGGTAAGTTCATTAATTCCAGGGGCATACATTACCTTAAGTCAGTTAACACAGAAAAAGAAAATTAAATACCACATGTTCTCACTTATAAGTAGGAGCTAAACATTGGATACACATGGACACAAAGCAGGAACAACAAACACTGGGGATTCCAAAACGGAGGAGAGAGGGGAGAGGAAGCTGAAAAACTACCTGTCAGGTTCTATGCTCACTACTTTGGCAATGGGATTATTAGAAGCACAAACCTCAGCATCACGCCACATACCCATGCATCAAACCTGCATGTGTACTGCCAAAGTCTAAAATTTGAAAAAATGAATAAACATACGAACAATTTTTTTTGCTTCAATTTATTTTCAGGTGGTTTTCCTGATAATTTTCCTCTCTTCTTTCAAGACATAAAAAAATTACAAACAAAAAACAAACATCAGGCTCTTACATTTTCATAACTTTGAAAATACAAAATTCATCTAGCCTTGGTGAAAAAGTTTTAAAAACGCTGGTGATATTCAGACTCATTAATGCAGCCTGTCAGCCCATGCCTGTAAAGAAAGTGTTATATCCACCAGAACTCTTACAGATAACACACTTCACTTGCTGAAGAAGTAACATCCAAAGACTGTTTTTAATGTTCTAGAGATGCAAATGGAGTATATGGTAGAAAGGCAATAAAAAAGCAATTTCATTTAGGAAAAGTCATTTCTTAGTGTATATTCTGTGAAGGGATATTATTTGATTAAAATAAAATACATTACAATTTAGTAAAGACAGAATTATCATGGAAAAAAATCTTCCATGGGCATGTGCTAATTGCTCCATATCCCTTGCAATAAAATGAGTCCCTCGATTAGAATCAACACTCTATGAAACACCATAATAGTCGATAAGATATTCTGTGAGACCAGAAATGTTGGTGTTGGTGAAATTATTGTGGGCAAGAAAGAAAAACGTCCCCAGTGCATGTCTATTTCAGTGATGATGATAAATCTCTGCCTACTTCATAATAGGAGGTCAACAAAATTAACTGGCTGATCTCAAAGAAAGGGGGCCATGTCAGGGTCTCATGTTCTTGGTAACTTCTGAACTCAATAGTTGTGGTAGATGGATCAGCTTTGGTAAGATGTTGAATCCATGTATATACCATATCCCTCTCACCATAGTTTTCAAATAGCCATTAATAAAGCAATACCATGGCAAGAGAAAGAAGTTGAATAAAATCAATTTAAAATAGACCATATTGTCTACGGGTGGCTATTGAGAACCATCTCTGTAATAATTGCCCTTTGGTGAGCATGGAATACACATCTATTATGTACACATGTATTTATATCTATATGTGTATGTGTCTGTGTGTATACGTATATAGGTAACTGATGTACATACCCAAACGATGGCATGTGGCTGTGATAGCATCCAGTTTATGATGGAAATCTCAGACAGCATGATCAACTAATTAACTATGATTATTCACCCTCTATCAGGGCTGAATAGCAAGCCACAAGTATTTGTTTGTTTGTGTTTTTTGTTTTTGTTTCTTTCTAGAGGAGAAAAATTATTTGTAGAAGATGGCATAGATTTGACTGAAAATCTTAGAAGTCTTCTCCATGATTCTCCCACTGTTATTTGTCAGATATACCATAAAGCATCCCTATTTTCAAAAACATATTGAACGTTATTGAATTTGCTGCACCATAAGATCCCAAAGAAGAGCAGCTTGTACTGAAACCTCACCTCATTACCGAGTATGCTCTTCTATTGGTCCCCAGTCAAAACTGGCAGCCTTATAAGCGGACAGTTTGAAGTAGCACATGCAAATGTGGCTGGCATAAGTGTTCTTCCCAATTCTTGGCTAAGAGAACTGCCCTCTCGTAGTTCTTCATATGTATATATGACATGCCAGGAGAATGTCTGCAGAAAGGAGGCCAAGGAGACAGAGTCACTTCATGTTTGCCCATTCCCTAAGGAATCTCAGTCATGCATTTCTGTTGTTCAATGCCTGAAAAGAATCTCCATATACATATTTTTTCTTGGTTTTATAGTTGTTTTCAGAGGAAGAATATGTCAAATATAAATTACTCTGAAATGATTGAAACCTGTAGTTGAATATGCAGTTTAATTTAAAAGCGTCTAGCAACATTGCTAATATTAGCTACCGTACTATAGATTACATTTAGGTCATTATAATCTGCTCAATGTTTATTAACTTCATATCACAAACTTTAAATTAATAACTAATTAAAAATATTAAAGATATTGAGTAATACAGCCATTCTTTTGCAAACAAGTTATATTGAAAATAGTTTGTAAAATAAATATTTTGCTGCACAACATTAATATTAAAAAGCAATGGATAAAAGCAAAATTACCTTGATAAAGTTTAGCATGGGAGCTAAAATCTAGGCATGTTCCTGTCTTGAATCAAAACTGTTAGACTGCCCTGAAAATCTCAGTTTCCTGTAGAACTCTTCTTGAAGACCAGTGAGTTTCAGCAAGAACTAGGTAAAATCAGTCTGGGTATGCTTTTACTTATTATTAATATATAAAAAAAGCATTTTAAAATTTACCACCTCCAAAACTTTCTACATTTTCCTTGAATTTACGTTATAAAGCATCCATAGTTATTTTCTTTATTCATAATTAATTTGTAGTTTAAATTGTTTCTTCATTTTATTTTATATGCTCCACTTGTTGCTGGTGAGTTTTCAAATGAAATAAAAATAGAAATTTGTAGGCTGGGCACGGTGGCTAACAGGTGTAATCCCAACACTTTGGGAGGCCAAGGTGGGTGGATCACGAGGTCAGGAGATAGAGACCATCCTGGCCAACACAGTGAGATGCCAACTCTACTAAAAATACAAAAATTAGCCAGGTGTGGTGGTGCACTCCTGTAATCCCAGCTACTTGGGAGGCTGAGGCAGGAGAATCGCTTGAACCCAGGAGGTGGGGGTTGCAGTGAGCCGAGATCGTGCCACTGCACTCCAGCCTGGTGACAGAGGGAGACTCCATCTCAAAATAAATAAATAAATAAATAAAATAAAATAAAATAAAGGAAAGAAAAAATAATTAAAATTTGCATGTGTGGGTCGGTCTCCTGCTAAGTCATCTCAGATTGATACAAGAAGAATGACTCAACTGGTCTACAGAACGTAACTGTCACTGCCTTAGAAGACACTTGGCAGTTGTGTTACTCCATTACATCTAAATTAGACGTTCTGATTCAATAACTAGAATTTGGTCTCCAATTTGTCAAAAAAGGTAGAAATAAATATTTAAGTTCCCAGATATTTTTCATTTTTATCACTAACTAGAAAATAGCATCATTTATAAATCATTCTTACCATGTATAATAGTTTAGCTCTTCCACATCCCATAGATATGACACTGGGAAGAGAGATGCATTTTTATACACAAAAACACACACACGTAGGTATACATATATATATATATATATATATATATATATATATATATATATATACACACACATATATTCATAATGCCTGATCATATTGTACACATACCTTCTCTATTATATTCTCTTCTATTTTATTTATTTTGGAAAATAAATTTTTTTCAGGGATTTATGAAGTCCTAGTTACTTGAAAGTGATATTCTTGATTATATCTTTCACAGATTTCTCTAAAAGTGAAATGTTATTGAAACTTGATTATTTTAAGTCTATCCTTTCAGCAACTTGTCTAAATCTAGTTATTCTAATCAATAGTAATGACAGCCATTCACAGTAGAACTTCATGCAATCTTGATTTTGTAGAGCATGATTAAGTGAATTATTGCCTGGATTCTACACTGGTGTTATGTGAAATCAGTTTTACAGTGGTTTTATATCTAAGCTTGCCTTTGGCATCTTACCTCGCTAGATGTTAAAAAAAACTATATGTAACACAACCTAATTTTTTCTACATTGTGATTGTTTATTATCCTGACTTAAGTGATTTGGTTTCTTTTGCCATTGAATATAGACTTTGTGTTCCAATCAGGTGACTGTGAGTTTCCCAACATAGCTGTTATTCTGGGGAGAGAATTGAAACTTCATTCTTTGTGATTTAGTTAGACTTTGAGTACACATTGAACTAGTAACATAAACTAAGAATCTCACAAATGTTTGCCATGACACAGTAAGAACCAGGCAGAATTTTATGATGGCAGTGAAAATTCACTTCTATGTCTTACTGAATTCAACCCAATAGCATCCTTACCTTTAAGAAGATAAAACATGAGTAGATAAAACTAAGTGCAATGTTGATGGGTTATAAATGACTTGACGGCAGTGAGCAGCACTTAGGAGAACTGCTCCAGATAGAGCTTATCCAGATAAAGCAAAGTTACTAAATGTTTAAATAAAATTTAAGGGAGACTAAAGCTTCAATACTTGGCTTTAGGTGGCTTTTCAGAGCATGCTTTTTTAAGGTATCACCAAGTAGTTATTCATACATCAAAGAAAATATCAAAAAGAAAAAAAAGAGATTTCAATTACCAGACTAAAAAGAAAGCTAGGTGGTCCAAAAAAAAAACAAAAAAACAGACAAATACAAAAACTCTCAAAGCATTCCCCTTGTGAATTGGAATAAACTGAACCTAGTTGACCTGTTGGTTAGTCTACTGTTCATAGTACGTACACTGTAATGTCCTCACACTGTAGTAATTTTACGTGGCACACTTAGTAACTTACTTAATTATTTAATATCAATTACCCATTTTAGCAAAAGGACAGAAGAAGAAACACAGGAAAATATCTATGAAAAATAAAGTAGTTGTATTAATTGGCTATTGCCAAATGAAACGAACAAAATCAAAAGCAAAAAAAAAAAGGGTAGTAGTCCATTTTCACGCTGCTATAGAAAACTACCTGAAACTGGGTAATTTATAAATAAAAGAGGTTTAATTGACTCACAGTTCTGTTATGGCGGGGGAGGCCTCAGGAAACCTACAATCCTGGTGGAAGGCAAAGAGAAAGCAAAGCAATTCTTACATAGCTGCAGGAGACGGAGAGATAGGAGATGTGCCACACTTTCAAACAACCAGATCTCTTGAGAACTCATTCACTGTCATGAGACCAGCATGGGGGAAACTGCCCCCATGATCCAATCATCTCCCATGAGGACCCTCCCTCGACACATAGGGATCACAATTCAAGATGAGATTTGGATGGAGACATGGAGCTAAACCACACCAAAAAGTGTGCTTTTATATCAAACTACATTAAGAATCATAGACCTGCTAATGCCCTGAGGCATTATCAGCCAACTGTGAGTTGGCTGACCAGGGCAGGGCTCAGCTTTACAAGGTCTTCTGATTTTAACTGTTTTTTCATGAAACTGAGGTCACCTAGGGGTCATCTGCTCCAGGTTGGGTTTAGATGTACCATTTTTCTCCACACTGCAGGTCTGTGAGTTCTAGTCCACTCTCCATGTATGTCATCCTCCTTGGATTAGCAGATCAGCAGGGCATGCTCTTATCATAGTGATGTCAAAAGCACAAGGCAATACACAGAATTACATGAGACTCTTAAGACTTAGATTCAGAAAAGCACACGGTCATGGATGACTACATACCGTTAGTTAAAGCAAGCCACATGGTCAACCTCCAAGTCGAGAGGCTGAGAATGATACTACACTCATGCTAAGACCATGCCAAGGGTAAAAAGTCATAATTCAGGTTTAGCTCAGTGGCCAGTGTCAGGGAGCATTCAGTCTATAGAATTCTAAATTACATACAAATGTATGTCTCTTAAAGCAGCAGTCTCCAACCTTTTTGGCACCAGGGACCAGTTTCGTGGAAGACCATTTTTCCATATATTTGGGGTGGGCATGGTTTGGGGATGATTTACAGGCATAACGTTTATTGTGCACCTTATTTCTACTGTTATTACATTGTAATATATAATGGAATAATTATACAACTCACCATAATGTAGGAACAGTGGGAGCCCTGAGCTTGTTTTCCTGCAACTAGGTGGACCCATCTGGGGGTGATGGCAGAAGGTGACAGATCATCAGGCATTAGATACTCATAAGGAGCATGCAACCTAGCTCACTCATATGTGCAGTTCACAATACAGTTCATGCTCTTATGAGATCTAGTGCCACTGCTGATCTGACAGGAGGTGGAGCTCAGGCACTAATCCAAGTGACGGGGAGCATATGTAAATAGAAATGAAGCCTTGCTCATTCCTCTGTTTGCTCACCTCTGGCTGGGCTGCCCAGTTGCTTACAGGCCATGGACCATTACCTTATGTCACTTAAAGCAGCAGTCTCCAATCTTTTTGGCACCAGAGAACAGTTTCGTGGAAGACAATTTTTCCCTATAATGGGGGTGGGAGATGGTTTTGGGATGATTTATGGACATTACATTTATTGTGTACTTTATTTCTACTGGTCAGTGGACTGGGGTTTAGGGACCCCTGATTTAAAGAACTGCGTTAATCACAAAAACACACATATAATTAATCTTGAATAAAAATAGAAGACACTTATTTAGCATAAATATAAAATGTTATAATTACTGTGGTGCAGGAAATGTTAAAAATACTAAGCAATGGTTTTCAAAACAAGTAAAGATTAATAATAGATTCAACCAAATGTGTGAGAAATTTTTAATTTGAAAAAATGTAGTTGTCAAAAGTAAGTATAATTCAGTAACATGTTTGCTTCTATGTTTTTGAAAACTAGATAGTATGCAACTTTCAGAATTCTAGTTTTTAAATGTGGAGATTAAATTAGACTGATAACACTTCTTAATGAAAGGTAGCTCAGCATCAGAGTGTCTGAAAGGATATCTGTTTGATTGCAGATATCAGCCATTGTTAGACTTTTTTCCAAATATTTCCATTAGCTGCTAATGAAGAGACCAAAATGCTTGCAGGGTAAAATGAAGTCACCGTAGAAATATTTGATTAATTGCTACATTTTTAACCTCTAATGGCCACAGTAAGCATTAAGTTTGTGTTATGAGTTGGCAATTCATTATTTTTTTCCATAAACTTTTATGTAAAATTGTATTTGAAAGAAATATCTGAGGCCAGGCATGATGGCTCATGCCCATAATCCCAGAAATATTGGAGGCTGAGATGGGAGGATTGCTTCAGCCTAGGAGTTTGCGACATAGTGGGAACTTGTCTCTGTAAGAAAAAAATAAAATAAATTTATAAAAGAAAATAATTCCTATAAAAAGAAAATGTTCCATAGTATTCCATTATATTGGTGGCAATCCATATTACTTATCATTGTCTTCGTCCCTACTGTTAATGTTCTGTTGAATGTTCTGTTCATCAGGGCCTGGTTCCAACATGAAAGCATCAATTTCAGTGTTCGAACAAGTACAAAAACATCTCGATGAAGACATGCTTACATATTCCCAAGCACATTGCATTTTATCTGCAGCATGAATGACCGTCATTACAATAATATCATTTTTATTACACAATATATTAAATTTAACTTAAACACAAAACTTCTTCAAAAGTTATCCTGCTCTACCACCAACAAAATCAAAAGCAATAGTAATATTTAAAATACCAATTTATAATTTTTTAAATGTTATTTAAATAATTGTGTGTGAATTAAGATATATGATAAAGGAAGACAATTCATGGGACTGTATATGTATTTACAGATAAATAGCACATGAAATTATACGCTTGCCTTTCTCATACTTGTGTGCATACCGTTTATTGCAATATGTGTATTTATATTTATATTTAAATGTAACTAGACTTACATTTCAAGTTACAACCCAAGTTGCTGTGAGTTTCAAAAACTCAAGGATTGGTACCAAGATAACCCAAAGGTAAATATTGCTGTATCTGAAGATAAAAATTGCTTTTTCTTTTTCTTACTTTTACAGTCCTTAGTAGGCATTGGGAATATTTTTTTGTATGCCCATTACATTTTGGCTTCTATTCATTTTATTATCCTAAAACAACATGACATAATATGTATGAAAGTGCTTTTTAAGTTACAAATTTTAAAATGAAGGAAAATTGTTGTTTTTAAAAAAGGAAGAATTAGTGATGGGTACAATAGTACTTATCTCCAGAAAATATAAGATTTTTATCAATGATTTAAAAGTATGAACTCTCTCACAATTTGTTAGCCCTTTTTTTCTGTAACCAAATAGCACATTTCTCTCTCAATGATAGGCCGACTTACTCAATAGTCTCATCATAAATTCAAATATTTCAATATACCAATAAATTTTGCCCTTCTTCTAATTCAATAATGATGCTTTTTAAAGGAGTCCTGGGATAAAACAGAGTGTATCAAGTTTACCTCTTGCTTTGTGTTTGGGTCATAGCTCTTGTGGTGCTCAAAACAAGAATTCACATCTACTGGGGTAGAGTGTTGGGACCATCAACTACACTGAACTGCCACTTAGTGATGTCCCTGTTGTCAGTGTACAGAATTTCCACTGCTGCAGATCACTGCTTTTCCATTTGTCTTCTCTTTCCCTCTCACATAAGCACTAAGGAATGAACAATATCTCATAAACTCTTCAATAAGTATCTTATATGCATTGGAGTTAAAAAAATATAGCATTTGTCACTCTTTTTTCTAAGTTAATTTTAGACCTGGATTCAACACACTTAGAAAAAAGAAAGCTGTAGATTTTTAGCTTGCGTTATCAAAGAAGAAAAACAAATCAAAACAAGGGGATAGTTACACTGAATATATTCTACTGTTATGCTTGAAAACGAGGCTTTATATGCTTTCCTTATGGAAAAATCCTATGGTATCAATGTAGGGTAAAGACCTGTCATGTACTCAAACTCACAGGTTTATTCTCAAGCTAACCTAACACCAGTCTTCCACTCATTTTTCTTGAGTTTACAAACACCTATTACCTGATTGAGAACTCATTTATTTTATTATATTTTATTGCTAAGTGCATAAGTTGTTACCAGTCTTTATGATAAGGAGTGTTGTTACCATGAAGCAAATTGTGGATCAACTAAACAGAGGATATCAAGAAAGATTTCTACATAAGATGATCATTCTTAAGGCCAATGGATAGACACAGAATCTGGCAATGTGGGCATTGCTTTTGTTTGTCGATTGTTGTTTTATTTTATATAGGTGTTTAACCACAATAGCATGTGTTTGTCATTATATTTGGTAATAGGATTCCACCTTCAGCTTGAGTTGAGAAAACAAGGGTGTAGAATTGATTTTCTTCACTCCCTCACTATGATTATGTTGCATTTTGCTAGCACCCAGATGATGATAAGGAGATGGATAGAAATAGCAAGAAGAAAGGAGTTGAAGGATAAAAGTTACTGGGTATGATAGAAATGTGCCTGGAGAGAGAGGTAGAATTAATATTGATAGGAAGGCTGCAGGGCTGCTTTTTCTCCTTTAATTGTCCTTGTCAAATTTGCCCTGTTCTAACTTATGAAAAGAAAAATAGCATGTTAATATGTATGTCTTATCTTATCCATGCTAAAGACCCCAGAGCCTTGTCTAGTACCTCAGGCTTCTAGCTCTATCCCAACTCTCCATTGCATGTTAAGTACAAGATTAAATCTGAGAGGAAAGAAAACAATATTGATAGGTCAGGCAATTCTTTCAATAAAACTGCATGCTGCTCAGACATTTTATGATAGCTTAATTGGCTCATTACAATCACATCTTCTCCGATTCAAAATTCAGGAATGGAATAGTCAATATTATATTTACACTTTATGTCATTAGAAAACACATTAACTGTAAATTGGAAAAAACCTACCAGAAGAATCTGTGATAATATTATGAAATATGGAAAAAAATAAACATCTGACCCATATCATTAGAAGATAATTACAGACAATACCACCTGCTTTTGATATTTCTACTTTAAGACCTCTTTCAAAAACACATAAACAAAATGAAACAAAAAAAGTGAAAGAAATGGTAAAAGATCTGATGAATCTAAAACAAAATAAAACCTGCATCTATAGCTTGGTTTTCACTTTTGCTGTTAACATTCAGATTATTTCTGTTGTTTCATTACCAGCTGGAAGAAAAATTTTATGGCTGGTTAATGCTAAAAGATTTATTTATACATTGCTCTTGCTTATATTTCTGTGCATAGGACTCTTCATTGTCAACAAAATTTTGACTCCGGAACCTATAATGTGGGTCTGGGTTCGGGCCTGTGTGAGTGATGATGAAGCCATTTGAAAAACATTATTCACAGGTCGCTAAGTGAATGGATGGACCAAAGATGGATGTTGTACATCATGTTCATGGTGATAGTTGCATCCTTCAGCTTTCAATTCTGAGTGCACATCTGGTTGAAGCTCTAATGCTTTTACATTTTTTATTCATTTTCTGAGATAATGTATCCTATAACTTCTCCATTTTCACAGGCTCTTTAAGAAGACATACAGTTACTTTAACTGAGATTTTTATTCAAAGATTCTCAGCGCCACCTACAAAACCACAAGCACCAAAGTTTCATCCCTGCCTCATGTGTCAAACTCTAGTGATTTTAATTATCTATATCACTTTCTTTCTAACTCATGCTGTGTCCACATTGCACTTACCTATGACCTAGCTTGTCCATGTAGTTTGAAACTACATAGAGAGGTGCATGGCAGAATTTAGTCATTTAGTCCATTTACACTGGTTTGTTTTATTTAAAGTCTTTTTTAATGCATTGGAAGAGTTTATTTCAATAAAATATTCAAATATATATGCGTACATATATATCTGGCTATTATTTGATGAACATCTTAATTGTAATACTGATGCAAATTGCATTAATTACAATTACAGTTAAAAGTTAAAATTAAAATTGTAGCTCATGACTAACACATAAGCAGTGAAATAGATTTATTTTTTAAATAGAATAAGAAATCCAAACATGTACAGGTATGAACACTTCACAGTTAAATAAGTTTAAGCAATAAGCTATACGAGGAATAATGTATATTATTGGTGAAAAATAAGTAATGTATTTGATTTACTGCAACTTAGTAGTTGGTGTTTGGGACTATGTATATATATATATATATATATATATATATATATTTTTTTTTTTTTTTTTTTTAAACAGAGTCTTACTCTGTCGTCCAGGCAGGAGTCACAGCACAAGCTGGAGTGCAGCAGTGCAATCTCGGCTCATTGAAACCTCTGCCTCCTGGGTTCATGCACTTCTCCTGCCTCAGCCTCCTGAGTAGTTGGAATTACAGCCGCACACCACCACGCCCAGCTAATTTTTGTATTTTTAGTAGACATGGGGTTTCACTATGTTGGCCAGGTTGGTCTCGAACTCCTGACCTCAGGTGATCCACCCACCTCGATCTCCCAAAGTGCTGGGATTACAGGCGAAAGCCAACTTTTCTGGCAGGGAAACTATATTTCTTGAAAACTGCTGAAAGAAACAGAAGTTCCTCGTGAGTTAATCTATCAATCTATGTAAAGAGTAATTTTTAAAAATGTATTTCACTTTTACTTGACTTATTATCTTTTTGGACTTTCTACTGAGGCTAAAGTTTTATGAATTATTTGGCTCCAAGTAGACAGTTTTCTGCTACATACCATTGATTGTTTATATATAAGGAGACTAGCTTTAAATCCACATCTTTATCTTCATATCCATCAATGGTGAATTGGTTAATGTTTGTAAGATGTTCGTTTATTACATTATCGTCAGTTAATTTCACACTAACAGCAATACTACTCAATTTATTACTGTCATTTCAGGCAATGATCTACAGATGTGTTGACCTGTGAAAGAGCATGTAAAAACATGTAAAATGGTAAGATTGCAAGAAATGGAGGGTCATAGCAGTATTGTTAGGTGAACTTTGCCCTGGATTTTCTTTTCATTTTACCTTCTATGGCTCAAGTCCCAGTCCATATCTGGTAAAATATTTAGAGACAATCATTGACAACAAAACTGTTATTACTTGTAAGGAAAGATGTCCCAAGTCGTAATAGTAGTTTGAATATCTGCACAATCTCCAAGAGATGTTAACCATCCCTGTAACATTGCCTTTATACCATCATAATTTCATTCTGTCATTGAATCTATTTATTTAGGTTTATCTCTAAGTTTTCACTTCTTGAGAGCCTAGATTCTTTGAATTAGTTCACTTGGTCTAGAGAAAAGAGAAACTAACTGCTCTAGATAGAGAGCATTGTCTTAAGTCTATTAAAGTTGAGTATAATGGTTTATAATCAAAATCAACTATAGCAAAACATAAACCAGAAGCCTGTTATAAGCAGTGCAATTTAGAAAGTAATTGACAATCAACGATAATTGATTCACACAAATGATGGGTATGAAAAGTGGACAATATAGTAAGTATAAGCTTACTGTCTAATTTATTGATTTGTTTACGTAATAATCATAATCAAAAATCAGATTTCCAAATATAAAGCATATATAAAAAATAGATAAATACTATACTTGCTTACTTCAAAAATGTTTACCAAATGTACTTTTGCAAGATTTTTAACAAAAAGTACTTTCTATTACATAATCATAAATGTATTCATGTATGAAAACATGATTTACTTTTATGGGTTTTACGCACTAGCATTCTGAATTATACTTATTGCATTTTGTTTTACTAGTAAGTACCATTTGATAAATTATTAAACTGGTGCAAAGGTAATTACAGTTTTTGCATTAAAAGTGATGAAAGAAACCACAACTACTTTTGCACCAACCTACATTAACCAATTTTAGAGTTGCAATCTGTGGCTGGTGAATACATTTTTTCTCTTTGTGAAGTTTACTATGAGAGAAGTGTTTCCTTCAATTTGTCCATATTGGCAATATTCTTTTAACCAATTTCCTAATGCCCCAAATTCCCAAACTTGTATCATTTCTGCATTGGACATAATTTGCTTTGGAAAATGTTGGGCTATTATAAGTAATACGCCTAGGTTAAAAACAGATTGCCTCAAAAAGTGTTTTCAGTTACTTCCTTCTACTGTTATTCAAAAAAAATTGCTGCAAAATCAGTGGCTTAAACTTGAACAATACAAATTTATTTTCTTACAGTTTTGGAGATCAGAAATCTGAAATGAGTATCATGGGCTAACATTAAAATGCTGACAGGGCTTCATTCCATCTGGAGACTCCAGAGAAGAATCCATTCCCTTCCCTTTTCCAGCTGTTAGAACCCAAACTTTCTATTTTAAGGTAATTTTAACTTAATCTTCCTATCTTGAGGTCAACTGATTATCAACCTTCTTCAACCTTAATTTTTCTTTGCTATGTAATCTAACATATGCACAGGTAGTGGGAATTAGAACATGGGACACTTTTGAGTGGCCATGATTGTGCCTTCCAAAGTGGTCATAATGTATACAATTCAGTTGTGAATGATAGAAATATGTTTTTCTAGAGAACTTGAATTGTAATGGTACTTAAAAGTGACGGGGCATTGATAAAACCATTCTTCACTATAATGAAGTATATACATGCATGCAAACGCACACACATATATATGTATATTCTCACTTGAAAATACAGATAGATATCATGATAATCTCAAATTTCAAATATAGCCAGGCAACAAAAATTTAACACATTTTAAAGAAATGTTAAAAGTTATAAAAATAGACACTAAACTTAATAGAAAATTAACTTCAACTCTATTGAGTTGTTCAAAAAAGTAGAAGATAATTTATAAATTACTACAATAATACAAAGCTTTCAAAAATATGAATTTATTTTAAAATAACATCTATAAAAGTAAACCCACAAATTGATAAAATAGTTTTAAGAAAAATCTCAATATAAGTAGCTAACATAGAGGGTAACAACACACACTGGGGAGACGCTCGAGGGTGAAGGCTGGGAAGAGGGAGAAGATCGGGAAAAATCAACAATGGGTACTAGGCTGAATACCCGGGTGATGAAATGATCTGTACAACAAACCCCCGTGACACAAGTTTACTTATGTAACAGACCTGCACATTTACTCCCGAACTTACAAAATAAATTAAAAAAAAAAAGTAAAAATAAATAGCAAAAATGCATAACAAAAACTTAAAAAATGAATGCTTGGTGAATTTAAAGATTGGATTCATGCATTCTGTTGGATATCCATTCCAAAGAAAAAAGACAAGAAATCTATGCGAGTAAAGTTAAGAAATGTGGATGAAAACCTAAAACAGTCAGTGTTCATCTAATAGGTGTTAAAGGAGATAACTGAGAATAGGGCAAAAGTAGGATGATATGAAAAATCTTATTTATTTAAAAAACAAAAAGGTTTACATCTTAGAAAATGAAGGAATCCAAATAATAGCAAGCCTAATTTTATGACTCTGCGTAAATACATTCTAAATTTCATAATTTCAGGAATAAGAGATAATATTGATGTTATCAGAGGAAAAGTGAAAAACAAGCACATATCACCTACAACAATGAAATGATTAGTTTGACATTTGTTTTTCGCTATCACTAATGGAGTTAAAGGACAATAAAAGAATGCCTTCAACAGTACAATTGTTTTTAATTTAACAATATTTACCGGTTACATTTTTAGATGTGTGATTATTTAGAGTTGTAAAACTTGTGATGATTCAGTAGTCATGTGACTACTAAGAAATAACTTATTGAAGGTACACTGGAAAAACAAGCAAACAACATAATCAATCAAATGAACAAAGAAATGTAATTTTGAGAATGAAAATCGTCATATAAAGTACTTTTGAGCAAGAAACAAATACAACTTATATGTTTAAAGATAATTGGTAATATAACTGTAAAGTTTTAAAAATGGTAAGAAATATTTTCTTAAAAAATGTAGAGAAATAAATAAAAGATAGTTTTAATTTTATCTACTGGATTAAAATTACAAGTCATATAGAAGCAACCATCAAACATGAAAAAATGCTCAACACCACTAATCATCAGAGAAATGTAATTCAAAACCACAGTAAGATAACCATCTCATACCAGTCAGAATGGCTCCTATTAAAAAGTCAAATAACAGCACATGCTGCTAAGGCTCTAGAGAAAAGGGAACCCTTACCCGCTGTTGACAGGAATGTAAATTAGTTCAGTTCCTGTGGAAAGCAGCTTGAAGATTTCTCAAATAACTCAAACAGAACTGCCGTTGGGCCCAGCAATCCCATTCCTGAGTATACATCCAAAAGAAAAAGACACATGCACCCATATGTTCATCACAGCACTATTCACAATAGCAAAGACATGGAATCAACCTAGGTGCCCAACGGTGGTGGATTGGATAAAGAAAATGTAGTTCATATATACTATGAAATACTATGCAGCCATAAGAAAGACAAAATCATGTCTTTGCAGCAACATAGATGCAGCTAGAGGCCATTATTTTAAGCGAATTAACACAGGAACAGAAAATCAAATATCACATGTTCTCACTTATAAGTGGGAGCTAAACATGGGATGCTCATGGATATAAAAATAGCAAGAATAGACACTGGGGACTACTAGCCTGGGAGGGAAAGAGATGGGAAAGGGTTGAAAAAGTACCTATTTGGTACTATGATCACTACCTGGTTGATAGGATCATTTGAACTCCAAACCTCAGCATCATGCAATATATCCTTGTAAGAAACCTGTGCGTGTATTCCCTGAATATAAAATAAAAGTTAAAATATATTTTATTTTTAAGAAAAATCAAAAAGAATTACAGGTCATTTCAACAAAATTTTTAAGATGATGAGGGAGAAGTTAAATACCACAAAAACATTGATTAGTTTGGTCCAAGATAGGAAATGTGTATGTAAACTCTCTCTCTCTATATACACATATATATTTATATAGGATATTTATATTTATATGTCATATAGATATTTGGTAGAGACAAAATATCTGTCTATTAATCTAAATGTCAATATATATTAATGATGTTGAGGCAGTCATTTGAATAATGGATCAACAGCCTCAATTCAAATAATCAATGGAATAGTTTTGAAATTGGACTATGAATATTCTCATTTGTTTTTGTCCTACTTTCTGGTCTTGGAGAGCAAGTTTTTTGTTCTTGTAATAAACAGGCATGCATGAATAAAATACTCACATATAATGGATTATACAGAGTTGTTTGTGTGTGTGTGTGTATGTGTTTTCATTCTCATACAATTCCAAGTGTCAATGGTTTGCAGCCTGGTTTTAAATCTTTCTTTCACTGAAATTCACAAGGTAGAGAGAATATCATAGATGTGTTAAGGGTCTGTGCTTCAAATCTATTTTTTAAATGTTATCCAAATAAAGTAAAATTCAGGATTAAAATAAGGTGGGAAATATGACTATTTGTGTTGTGTAATAGTCTACATACTGCCTTATGTGATTGTGTGGGCAGATGTCTCATGGCATTTTCTGGACCCTGTAGCTCTCTTACTTTAATGAATATTTTGAACCTTTGTTTACTTTCCGGTATTAGAAAAATATTCATGTTTGTCTAGAAAAGTGAAATATTGCCATGTAATGTTAGAGGATTCACAATTCCATTACAACCAAATTGAGCTGTATTTTAGAAAGAATGAAACCTCTTTGTAGGAGAACATGCACAATTAATGGAGATCAATAAAATTAAAAAAAAAATACAAAACCTCTCAAACCAGATCTCCTCCTTAAATTTTGTGTTTTGACCTGGCACAATGAGAAAGGCAAGCCAAACATGAGGAAATTACAAATGACTCTTTTGGTTACTCCACATTTCAGAAGATGACTTTTAATTTGCATGTTAAGAGACAATTGATTAGTACATATGCCTTAATTTGTAAGGAGAAACAGTATATTTAATGTGGAAAGGTACCAGGCAGAGTGAAAAAAGATCTGGAAGGTAAACATGGCTCTGCAACTATTTAGCTTTGTACTGTGGGTTATTTAATCCCTTTAGACAGCAGTTCCCCATGTGACATACTAGAGGGTTAGGCCTTAATCACCCTCAGCAACCTTGTTAGGTTAGCTCTGTCTCTCACATGAATACTTAAATGACTATACCAGCTTTTCTCATTTCTCTTTTAATTATTGTTTCACATTTGCATTTTCAATGGTTTCATTTATCTGATTTTTTGTAACCCTTTATGCTGATTTATTTGAGAACTTAAAAATTTCAGGAATAGTACAAGAAACTCCGGTATCATTTATCTGGATCCACCTATTATTGATATCTTGCATCGTTTAATCATTCTCTCCCCCCGCACCTTGTGTGTGTGTGTGTGTGTGTGTGGGGTGTGTCTCTCTCTGTCTCTTCCTCCCTCTCCCATGTATGTATTTGTATGCATGTGTGCACGTTTTTTCTGAAACATTTGAGAATAATTTGGAGATGGTTTCTTTTAACAGAACAAGAGTATTCTGTTACAGAGCTATAACATAGCTACCAAAATCGGAAAATTTAACCTTGATATAATATTATCATTTAATTCACAGCCATGTTCAAATTTCATCAACTGCCACAATAATGTAATTTATAGCTGTTTTCTACCACGCTTCCCTCCACCCCAGTGAAGTCCAGGATCCAATCCAGGATCATTCACAACATTTGATATCATGCATTTTTAGCTTCCTTTCATCTGAAAGAATTCTTTAGTTTTTCTTATGTTAACATTGAAATATTTTAGGACAATAAGGTAGTTACTGTGAGACTGTTTAATTGACATATTTGCTGAAATGATGTTGTATCATTCCTAGGGTATATCAGGAATGATGTTTCATATATGGACAATGATTTGTCCATATATCATGGACAAATGATGTTGATTTGTCTCAATATGGATGAGATTCCCCTGCACACTTGGGTACAGTGATATCCCCAGGTTTTAGTATTACAAAGTTAATATTTTTCCTTTGTAATTAAGAAGTGCTATGTGAAGGAAATTGTATCATCTGGTGATAAATTTCTTATTCTGTCTGTCCTATTTTTATTAGGTACTTCTTTTCCATTTTATCATACTATTTATTCATTCATTTATGCCAGTGTAAATTCAAGATTTCTTATTTTATTCAAAGATAAAATATAACTATCAATAAATTTTGATGCTGAATTTGTTCTGTATTTGGCCAATGAGGACCTCTTCAAACTAGCATCGATGTCACTTTGACATGTTCGTATCATGCTGTTGAGTATTTTCTTGGTTTCTGTCAACAAGATATTTTAAGTTTATCTTATATGTTTGGTGTAATAGCCTTGAAATCATTAATTTCTCAAAAGAGATAGAATATATTCAATTAAATAATTTTATTTAGAAGGCACATTATGGATCTCATTTTGTCAAGGCACTCTCAGGGCACACAAGATGAGTTCACACTGATATATTAATTTTCTTTTTTTAACTTTGAGCTCTGGGACACATGTGCAGGATGTGCAGTTTTGCTACATAGTAAATGTGAGCCATGGTTGTTTGCTGCACATATCATCCCATCACCTACCTATTAAGGCCAGCATCCATTAGCTATTTTTCCTGATGTTCTCCCTCCTCCTCTGCCACCCTCTGACAGGCCCCAGTGTGTGTTGTAGGCCCCAGTGTGTGCTGTTTCCCCCACATGTGTCCATGTACTCTCATCATTCAGCTTCCACTTACAAGTGGAACATTCAGTATTTGGTTTTCTCTACCTCGGTTAGTTTACTGAAGGTAAATTGCCTCCAGCTCCATCCATGTCCCTGCAAAGGACATGATCTTGTAACATTTTATGGCTGCAGAATATTCCATGTTGTGTATGTACCACATTTTCTTATATTAACTTCCAAACAAACGACACAGGATATTAGAAAGTCTTTACCCCTCTCTGTATATGCCATATCTGTAAGCCCTCTCTTCAACAATGAGAAATTTTTCTCCTCTTATTCTCAATATGTTTACTCATTTGATCATGCAAATTTTTTTTTTGGTGGGGGGAAGGAAAATTCCCATTTGTCCTTTTGTGAAAAGACTTTTACAGGCTTTTGTGGCTCTTTTTATTTTTATTTTTATTTTTATTTATTTTTTTTTTTTTGAGACGGAGTCTCGCTCTGAGTTTAAGTGTCTTCCATATAATTTGGAGCTAGATCCTTTATCAAATTTATGGTTTACAAATATTGGTTTCCCCCAGTCCATGGCTTAATTTGTTATTAACAGTGTCTATTGATAAGCAGACGATTTTAATTTTGACAAAGTTTAACTTCTCTTTTGCAGATAGATATAGTTTTTTCATATTCTAAGATATAGTTTTAGAATATAGTTTAGAAATATAACTATAGAAATATATTCTATATAACTAACTATAGAAATATATTCTATATAAATATAGAAATATATTCTATATAACTATAGAAATATATTCTATATATTATAGAAATTATATAACTATAGAATATAGTTTGAGTATAGTTTCGAAAGATATAGTTTTAGAATTTAGTTTAGAATATAGTTTCATATTCTAAGATATAGTTTTTTCATATTCTAAGACATATTTACTACCCCAGATCATGAAGATATTCTCCAATATTGATTCAAGAAGCATTATTGTTTTAGATTTTATTGTAGATATAAGATTAAGGTTAAATTAATTTTTGTGATTCATATGAGGTAGAAATTAGGGTTCTTTTTTTATGTATATATCCCTCATATCTATTTCTACCCCTAGAACACTTCTGACAAGGCATATGTGGGTTTTTCACACCAAACTATCCTTCAGTCCTCTGAGGGCAACAAATGGACGCCCTGAAATTTAATTCATTTCTGATGCTAACTATCCAGAGTTAATTCAGAGCTCACTGGTTAAGAACTCAGTCCTACAAGACTGCCCCCAATTCAGCCACCAGTCTTAACTATGGGGTGCTCTGGGCAAAGACACTTCTGTCAGACCTGGCTACAATCCTGGGGCTCTCACAACCCGATCTTTACATTCAATTATTGCTATAATGGTACACATAACTTATGGAAACACTTTTCTTATGTTTACTGACTTATTTTAAAAGATATCGTAAAGAATATAAATTAACAGCCAAACAAGGAGGTACACAGGGTGAGGTCCAGGGGAATCCTGAGCACACGAGCTATTGTCATGTGGAACTGTGGTGTGCCACCCTTCCAGCATGCGGCTATGCTCACCAACCTGAAACTTCTGTGAACTCTGCAGTTTAGAGATCTCTGTCGAGGCTTCATCATATAGGCATTATGAATGATCAAACTTAATCTCCAGGTGTTCCATCCCCGGAGGAAGAGAGTCCAGGCTAAACATTCCAAGCTTCAACTGTGGTTTGTTCTTTCAGTAAATAGCCCCCATCCTCAAGCTATCTAGAAGCTCCCCAAGAGTTAATTCATTAGAATATCATATAGGCATAATTATTTAAACCATCGGCCATTGGAAATTAACTCAGCTTCTAGCTTCTCTCTTCTCCTGGTAAAGGGGTGGAGAAAATTTTAACCCTCTAATCACATGATTGGTGCCTCTGGCAACCATTCCATATCCTGAAGCTCTCTAGGGGTCCACCACCAGTCACTTCATTAATATCATCTCGGGTAACATTGAAAGATGTTTATTAGTGATATGGGAGTGCTGGGAAGGGAAGAGTGTGGTCCCTTTAAATGATACAGAAAGTGGGCAGGGAAGTGCTGAGTAGAGAAAGGCAGGTCCCTGGCTAGGGTTCCACCCCCATGGAACTAGGTGAGGACAGGCACTCCTGCTTTCATGCCCAAATGTTGCATTTTCCAAGACCACCCTGGCCTGCCACGCCCCCATCCTGGGCCTGTAAAAACCCGAGACCCTACCCTAACCGACAGACACACAAGCGGCTGGAGGTCATGAGGGACACATCAGCGGAAGAATACGCAAGCGGCTGGTCATTGAGAGGACGTCGAGAGGAGCATGCCAGCAGAAGAGCACACCAGCAGGCACCAGCATGCCAGCAGGCCATCAACTGGCGGCACAAGGCGGATTTTGGCCAGAGCAGTGGGAGGAGAGCCTCAGCTGCCAAGCGGCCCAACTCAAGGGGAAAACCATCTCCCTTCTGGCTCCCCCTTTGGCTGAGAGCTACCTCCACTCAGTAAAACTTGGCACTCATTCTTCCAGGCCACGTGTGATCCGATTCTTCTGGTACACCAAGGCAAGAACCCAGGATACAGAAAACCCTCTGACCTTGGGACAAGGTAGATGGCCTAATTGAGCTAGCTGGTTAACACAAGCTGCCGATAGATGGCAAACTAAAAGAGCACCCTGTAACACACACCCAGTGGGGCTTCAGGAGCTGTCAACATTCACCCCTAGACACCGCCGTGAGGTCGGAGCCCCATAATCTGCCCTTCTGTATGCTCCCCTGGAGATTTGAGCAGCAGGAGCGCTGAAGAAGCAAGCCACACCCCCATCGCATGCCTGGTGAGGGGGACAAGGGGGACAAGGGAACTTTTCCCGTTTCATTAGGGATAACAAAAATGCTTTTGTTCCTTTTACTGCTTAAGAAATCACAAGAATGTTAGAACCTGTGTATCAGAAACCAGAGACGAAGACCAAATATTTCTTATTATATCACAATATCATAGATATATACTTTTTCTTACACCTCTTGTTACATTGTTAAATTTAACATTTGTTTTTAAATTTAACAATTGCCCACTGTTGGTTGTTAAGTGTTTTTTCTACTGACTTTCTCTGGCACCTCATTCCACACCCAAATGAACATATAAGAATGAGTCAAGTCATGAATTTCTAATCTGTTCCATTAAACTTAATATTTATATACCAATTCAATACTGTCTAGATTTCTGAAGGTTTGTGGAGTGGTTTGAAGTTAAATTGTATATATCCTTCTACTTTGTTCTTCTTATCCAAGCCAGCATTTACTACTCTGGATATTTCACATTTACATCTACATTTTAAGGTCTATTTGCAATTCATATATTTTTTAAAGCCTTCTGGAATTATAATGAAATTGCTTTGAATCAATAAATCAATTTGGTGAGAACTGACATCTTAACAATATTGAGTTTTCTAATTTTTGACATTATTACAGTTTTCCATTTATTTCATATATGTTTTTCTTAAGCTACTGTGCTTAAATATTTATAATAGTTGCTTTAAAGTTTTTGCCTGTTAACCTCATCTGCTTCATCTCAGTGTTATTTTCTCTTGACTATTTCCTTCCTACTTAGAAGTCTCATTTTCTCATTTCTTACTTCCACTGATTTTAAATTATATGCTGGATAGTGTGGATGCCTGAGTCTCCTTAAAAATGCTTTTTTGCTCACAGGAAGTTAATGGGTCACATTCATCTATATAACAAGATTTGTTTTTAATCTTTCTTAAGGTAGATACAAAGTAGTCTTTAATTTAGATGTGCAGTGAGTTTTCCTTACTCTAGCTATGTGAAACTCCTATGTCTCTCAGACCCAAGTGAACTACAGTCTCCCTTCAAGTCAGAGATTACCAGCAGCTGTTTCCTGCCAGGCCTTGTAGAGTCTTGGTTAGTGTAGGCACTCTTAGTCATTGTTCAAAGACCAAATGGGACATTATTACATTTCTGGAATTCCTTCTCTTTACAGCTTCCATCTCTTTGATACTTTACCCTCCAACTTCCTTCATCCACAGCAGGCTCACATTCTGGTGGCTGTTTCTATTGCTGATAAGAATATTATGTTCTGCTTGAATTCAATCTCCTTACAGCTCATTCTGATTGTGTTCCCAGAAAGAAAGCAAAGGCAATCCTAAATCTCACCTGGCATGTTTTCACTCTAAAATAGACCACAACTTTGTTCTGACAGTAGTACAATGTCTGAAAACTGGTGTCATGTATTTTATTTGATATTCTTACTTATTGTGGGAATGGGTTCTATACTAGCTACCATATCACGGTCCAAAAAACAATTATGCTGTTTTACTTATTCAAAACTTACTTCTAATATTTCTTAGAAATTGGCTAATTGAAATATAATAAACGCATACTGCAATATAATTAAAATTCTATTTTGTGATAGAGCATCTCCAACTACATAAAAATTACAACACATTTTTTTCCAGACAAAAAATTACTTCCCAAAGAACCAATAAAAAACAACAAAACAAGTCAGTCTGAAAGTTTTCCTAGTAATACTTGTCTCATAACTTTACTGATATTAGTTCTCAAGTGATTAATCTATTTTAAGAGGGTTCATTCTTCAATGAATGAGTTTTTTAAACTCCTCTCTGTTCGTATATATGTACATATATGTATACACATGTCCAGAGAGAATCAAGAGAGAATTGTTGAAGTTTATATAAATGTGGGTACCTCATAGATCTCTTCATTTTTACCATAGTCTTCATTTCACTAGATAATTTAATCATAACCATAAATCTCTTTTTATGGTTAAATTATTTGTTTCAAGATCAGTTCTATAAGTTCTTCCTGAAAAGATTGAATTGGTGTGTATCTGAGTTAGATTATTTCAATATTTTAACCACATGAAGTAGATCATAAAAAGACCACTGATTGATAGGGAAAAAAATTTAAACTTAAAACAGGATTATTATTTATTCTTTTACCTTGTTAAAATCCTAATGAACCAATGCCAACTCTCAGTGAAAATGCATATAGGCAGGAGAAAAATGGCAATAATATTTTCAGTTGTTCATTTTAAACCTCTCCAGAAGCAGAAATGTTAAAAAATGTCAAATCTTGATAAAATAATGCATTATATCAAGGTTAATAACCATAAAAGTTAAGAATTATTTGGAAATTTACTTTGTTGCAAAGCAACAATTTAGAAAGAAAAGTAAAGCACTGGTAGAATACAATTTAAAGGAAAATGATGTTATCCACAGATGTTCTGTCTCTCATATCGCATTAATATTATTAATAAAGAGAAGAAAAGTAACTGAGAATATTATTTGTAACACAGGACTGAATATCTTAAAGAGTGATTCCTTCATCTTTCCACCTATGTGTATTATAAGTTGAAAGGGAAGATAACCTGCTTCTCAAAAGTTCTTTTCTTCTCATTCTCATTATCCTTTTTTGTTCTTCAGCCATGAATTATTTTTGTTTTGTGTTCATTAAAGAAAGATGTTAAAAGGCTCATACAGCACAAAAGGACAAACCATTTTTTGTATAGTAACAACTACTAGAAAAATATTCCTTCCATATTTTATTGACTTGGAGCTAGTCTCTATTTGGTAAAGTATTTATATTATTCACTTTTATTTCAGTAGATTTTACCTGAAATTATATGAATAAAATTCCAGGAAAACACTGCTCTAGAAGCAAATAAGTGGTCAATAATTTGTATATAATCTTATAATAAGCTTGTAATACCAAGTAATACCGTGGACCTGGGTTGGGAAGGTATTTAATGAGGACATCACTCTAGTCCAGCGCTGAGCCATGATTTTATAATTGGTTGAAAGACTCCTTGAAAACTACATTTCCAGCCATATTTTCATGGTTGATTCACCTGTTTTCTAACACATATAAGATTTAATTCAGGGCTTTTAGTTAAAAGGAGATAACTAGGGTTTTCCAGGTATGAGATATTACCATCAGCAAACAGTGAAAATTTGACTTCCTCTTTTCTAATTTGGATACGTTTTATTTCTTTCTCTTGTCCAATTTCTCTGAGTAGGACTTCCAGTATTATGTTGAATAAGACTGGTGAAAATTGGTGTCTTTGCCTTATTTCAGTTTCTTGGGGGAATGCATTCAACTTTTCCCCACTCAGTACGATGTAGCCTGTGTGTTTGTTGTATATGAATTTTATTATTTTGTGTTACATTCCTTCTATGCCTAGTTTGTTGAGAGTTTTATGAAACATTGCTGAATTTTAACAAATGCTTTTTCTGCATCAATTGAGATGATTATATGGTTTTTGTTTTTGATTTCTGTTTATGTTGTGTATCACATTTACTGATTTACATATGTTAAACAATCCTAGCATCCCTGGAATTAACCCTACTTGATCTTGGTGTCCTCCCTTTTAGATGTGCTGTTAGACTTGGTTTGCTAGTATTTTGTTGAGGATTTTACAATACCTATACAAAAAATAAGAATATATTTAACAAAGGAGGTGAAAGATTTCTACAAAAAAACTACAAAACATTGATGAAAAGGATTACAGATGACACAAACAAATGGGAAACATCCCATGCTCATGGATTGGAAGAATTAATAATATTAAAGTGACCAAAGCAATCTACAGATTCAATGTACTTGCTCTTCACTGGCATCATTTTTCACAGAAGTAGGAAAAATAATCCTAAAATTTATATGAAACCAAAGAGAGCCAAAATAGGCAAAGCAATCTGAAACAAAAGGACAAAGCCAGAAGCATTACGTTATGTGACTTCAAATTATACTACAAGGCTATAGTAACCAAAACAGCATGGTTCTAGTATAAAGACACATAGATTAAGGGAGCAGTATAGAAGACCCAGAAATAGATTCACTTACCTATAGCCAACTGATGTTCGACAAAGTATACCAAAGTATATACCTCAGTATATACTGAGGAAAGGACACCTATGCAATAAACAGTGCTGGGAAAATTGGATAGGCATTTGCAGAAGAATGAACCTGGACCCCTATTTCTTTCCACATACAAAAACTAACTCTGGATGGGTTAAAGACAAATGTAAGACCCTAAATTATAAAAATCCTAGAAGAATACCTAGGAAAAACTCTTCTGGATGTTAGCCTAGGCAAAGAATTCATGACTAAGCATGAATTCAAAAGCAAAGTCAACAAAAACAAAAACAGACAAATTGGACTTAATTAAACTAATTCATCCTATGTATTCAACAAAGGTCGAATATCCAGAATCTGTAAGGAACTCAAACAACTCAACAGAAAAATAAATAACCTTATTAAAAAGTTGGCAAAGGATATGAACAGACATTTTGCAAGAAACATATTAAAAATTAGCAAGCATATGAAAAAATGTTCAACATCATGAATCATCAGAAAAATGCAAATTAAAACAGCAATGCAATACCATTTTACACCAATCAGAATGGCTATTATTAAAAGGTTAAAAAAACTAAAACTACAGATGTTGTCAAGGATGTAAAGAAAAGGGAACACTTATACCCTGTTGATGGGAATGCAAATTAGTACAACACGTGTGAAAAAGATTATGGAGATTTTTCAAAGGACTAAAAATAGAAATGCAATATGGTTCAGCAATCCTACTACTGGGCATCTACCCAAAAGAAAAGGAATCGTCATATCAAAGATACTTGAACTGGTATGTGTATCGAATCACTATTCACAATAGCGAAGATATTGCAATCAACCTAAATGTCCATCAGTGGATGATTGCATCAAAAAATGTGAGATATATATCTATATATCTATATCTATAGCTATATCTATCTATCTATCATCTATCTATCTATTTATCTATCTATCTATCTATCTATCTATCTACTCTTCAGCCATAAAAAGGAATGAAATCATGTCTTTTGCAGCAACAGGGAGGGAGCTGGAAGCCTTTATCTTAAGTGAAGTAACTCAGAAACAGAAAGTCAAATACCACATGTTGTAATTTATAAGTGGGAGATAAATAATATGTACATATTGACAGAGAGAATGAAATAATAGAGCTTGGACACTCAGAAACATAGAAAGGAGGTGAAGAATGGGAACTTACCTAATGGGCACAATGTACACTAATATGTGATGATTACACTAAAAGCCCAGAATTTACCATTATGCAGTACATCCATGTATCCAAGTATAAATAAGGGCAAAGTGCTATTGCAGTAAAGCAAAGGAAAAATGATTCTAAATAAATCAATGTGAAGGAGCATATTCTCTATAATCCGATTGTGTTGGCCATGCTATTTCACAAGCCACACAATCCCTGCTTTTCTTTAATTTTTAAAAACATATCCAGCTTATTTAAATACATATTGACAACCGATGCACTCTACTTAGTTTTAAATAAATAACAGGACTTTGATAATTGTTTTACAGATAAGCTGATTTAATATTCAAAACAACCTGTGGATTAGAAGCCATCATTTTTATTCTACAGTTGAAGATTTAAGAATTAGGATTATTAATAAACTTGCTCAGGATCTGTCAGATTTTTCACTATCAAAACTAAAGAAAAAATCCAAATCTGTCTGACATCAAATCTATGATCTATTCTAGTACATTAAATTGCCTCCCTAAGTAATAAAAACTGCCTCACTCTTTCACAATTATTTTTCTTAAAGATCAAATTACAGATATATTTAAAGCAAAATCCTTTATACTTTATATCATTATACTCTAATAATTAGGAAAATGGATTATCTACATATAGACATTTTTTAAAATAAAGAATATTCAAATCACCTCTGTATAAATATATTAAATGTTGACTTAATTCTGTTCAAAATATTAAATAAATATCTGGAATTGTACTATGAAATATTTATGACTTTAAATGTTTCATATTGAGAAAAGAGGCAACTATAACTAATGGCTGAGTATTGATAAAAAATTATTTGCACCACCCAAGCTGTAAGATATATTACAGTCAATACAAATGTTTCTCCACTATATGCTTTTAATATTTAACCAAGGAATGTCAGGAAATATGCAAGTAACTAAGAAAAATGACACTGAAAATTAAAGAGTGTGTCTATAGTCACTTTTACAAATGCATAAGGGAATAAAATAGGATGAAAATTTTCATTGAGTCAGAAAAACTTTGCTGACAATGGTCACAGGAAAAGAGTAAAAAAATAAATACTTAGTGAGAGATATCTGATTCATTATGTTTAGCAAATAATGCAAACTATACGATGTATTTATCTGGTATATAATTTTGTGGTGATTTTATCATGAAATTTAAATGCTAACTTCCATGTAATCAAATGAATTAGACTACATTATATATACAAACAAGTCTAAGCAACTAAACTAATTGCAGTATTGGTTTTATATATGTATTAGTAGACAATACATAAATGAACCAATTTGATGTAGCATAAAAACAAGCAAAAAACCCTGGAAACATGACACTTTGAAGTAAAATATAAAAACACCTTTGAACCATGAAAGTTTTTTTGCAAAGTATTTAAACTAAAAGTATAATATTTTTGTGCCTCAGATAAATTTCTTTTATTCCCCTCTTCCACAAGAACCACATATTCCCAAAATATTTCACTGCCAAAAAATAGAATAAACAGACATTTACCTTCTAACTTGATCAAATAACATGAGATCATGTGATCAGGAATCACATTAAATTGATTAAATTTTAATGATGTTCTCTTATCTTAGCAGACTAAAATATTGAGAATAGCTCAATATTCTTGGTACAGTGTCAGCTCCTAAAGTGACAAACGTTGTATTTAGGTTGCTTAAAAAGTAATTGCAGTTTTTGCTATTACTTTCTTTTTTTTTTTTTTTTTTTTTTTTTTTTTTTTTTTTTTTTGAGACGGAGTCTCGCTCTGTCGCCCAGGCTGGAGTGCAGTGGCGGGATCTCGGCTCACTGCAAGCTCCGCCTCCCGGGTTCACGCCATTCTCCTGCCTCAGCCTCCCAAGTAGCTGGGACTACAGGCGCCCGCCACTACGCCCGGCTAACTTTTTGTATTTTTAGTAGAGACGGGGTTTCACCGTTTTAGCCGGGATGGTCTCGATCTCCTGACCTCGTGATCCGCCCGCCTCGGCCTCCCAAAGTGCTGGGACTACAGGCGTGAGCCACCGCGCCCGGCCTTGCTATTACTTTCAATGGCAAAACCACAATTACTTTTGCACCAACCTAATAGGTGAGGAAACAGCTTATTCTAAAGTTCTCAATTTATAGATAAAAAAGAAACACTAAAATATTTTAAATGAGTCTTTCAAGGTCATGTGGTGAATTAGCGATAGTAATTGTATCACAGCTTAAACTTCCTGACATAGTAGCATGATCTTAACATCAGACTGTAGTGCTCTTCCTTTCTGTCTTTTTTTCTTTTTCTTTTTCTTTTATTTCTTTCAGACGGATTCTCGCTCTGTCACCCAGGCTGGAGTGCGGTGGTGCAATCTCGGCTCACTGCAACCTCCATCTTATGAGTTCAAGCTATTCTCCTGCTTCCGCATCCCGAGTAGTTGGGATTACAGGCAGCAACCACCACGCCCTGCTAATTTTTTTATTCTTAGTAGAGACAGGGTTTCACCATGTTGGCCAGGTTGGTCTGGAACTCCTGACCTCAGGTGATCCGCCGACCTCGGCCTCCCAAAATGCTTGGATTACTGGCGTGAGCCCCGCTGCTCCCGACCAGTGCTCTTTCTTAGAAGGACTAAATTTAAAGAATCCAGAAGGTATATTCATACATATCTGTGACAAACTCAAGAAGTTTTTCTCTCAATAAAAGGCATTTATAATTTGTTTTGTGGCAGTACTACTTTAAATAGAGTAACATAGAAAACTGAATACTAATTCAATTTAAATGTAATAAAATATATCTGTGCTTGATCTCTCCTGATGCTCTTTGTCTTAAACATACCAATTGTTTCTTCAATGCCATATACTTGAACTTAATAGGTCTTTCTTAACTATGTAAAATAGATATAATGTGTGGCTTTAATGAAAATTCTTTCAAAAGGTGTTTATAGTACAAAAATTTTAAATGGCGTTGAATCAAGAAAATATGTTCTAGTTTATAGTTATTACTCTAGTAAATTACTAGTTATTACTCCAGTAAATTATTATGACTGATCTAATAAAAAATGAACGCAATGGGGAGAATGATTTTTGAACAGTACTTTGTACATGAGACTGTGTATATAGCTATTATGCTCTCTTCTGAAATTTTTCTTTCATTGTGTCCTCTCCATCAAGTGTGAGCACCAGTGATTTTGTGGATATTGGCGTAGTTTATAAAAACAAGTTCTAGCATGAAGAATTTCCCCTTTGACCTTCAGTTTTTTTCTCACTCCTGCTGTGATATGCAAGTTTTGCTCTGAAAAATTTCAGATTGCATTTTGGTATCAAATTAAAAATATATTCATTAAAGTATAGCAGTGAATAAAGCAGTTATCTCACTTTAGAAGACAAATTTATTTCCTGTGGCGGATAGGTAAAGGGAGATGGTAGTCCTCATCCCCAGATGCCACGCAGCTACAGAAAAAAATTTTGGCTAAATGTCTTAGCATCATGTTTGTTTTATTTCTTCATTTTATTTTACTTTATATTCTCCTTTCTCCTTCCTCTCTTATTTCTTTTTTCCTTGGCATGGTTTTTGTTTCTTCTTATGCCCTAGGTATTCACTAAAATAATAAAATTTTGAAATTTCCTAGCTTTTTTATATTTAAGCAATTAGAAACAAGAGGAAAACTAAGCAATAACTCTTAAATAGAACTTCAAAGTAGGAGTAACAACAAAAATCTTCCAAATATAACCATGGCTTATCTCCAGGTTAGCCTATGTTAACTGTGTTTTAATGTTCCTATGTTAAAACACGCTCCAAAGTCATATGAACATCAAATTGAGGTGCCTAAAATCTCACAATGTCAATTACTACCATGTGAAAACTTCAGGATGCTCAGAAAAGATCAGAAAATAAACTTTTTAGGTGATGGTGCCACTTGAAAAGTTTGCTAGCATTGCTCTAGAAAGGTAATTGGTTCGTCTTCAAAATAAAAAAAAACAATAAGAAGTAATACCAAACTCTAATTATTGCTCAAAATACAGCATTTTTTTGTAGAAGACAAAAAACATTATGGGGAACTGCACAGATAATGCATTTACCACAATAACTTTATTTAAACGCATTGTGGATAAATGTGTCCATATATATTACAAATTAGAAGGGATGAGTTAAACTTATTCACAATTCTAGCTTTTTAAAATTAAGGAACATTTTGGTTGATTTAAAAAAATATTTAATGGATTTATGTTTGTGTGTGTTTTGGTTGAAAGTGTGGTTGCTGATTTAACTTGTAAACTCTTACTGAACTTCTAAAAGAAGTGACGCTTAAAAGTTGTTTTTCTATACTTGCTAAAACTCATTTATTATTTCGTTGTACATCTGTATTAACAAATAAGTAGCACCACAACAACAAAAATCTTGAAAGCTTTTGGAACAGTAGGAACCTTGTCCTATATTCTCAGTTTTTCTTAAGGTAAAATTGAACATAATAAACTTATATACTGAATAATCGTACGCCTGATATTTCTGTTGACAATGGAAGTCATTGCAAAACAGAATGCAATTTCTAAATATATATGTGTACATATATATGTTTATATACATATGTGAATATATATATTTGTTTACAAAACACCTACACTAAATTGAACATTAGGAGTAAAATTCGTTGTCCTTAAAGAGGGGAGAAGTTTACTATTGTAGTCTATTTATCTTTTCTGTCTTACAAAATCCTATGACTTTTTAAAGAGAGTAAAATGTCATTATTTAGTGATAACTTTCTGAGGATTCCCTCTTATGTCCACACTCCCAGTCAGTATTTCCTTTATATATTCTGCACATTTTTCTATTAAAATGTCAAACTACATTGTAATTATTTAGTTGTGAATCTATTATTTCCAAAATTGTATGGATTACTTCATTCCTAGGGCAATAATTGTATCCCATCACATATAAGTGAGTATGTCTTTTGTATAGATGGAAATATTCATATTATTAAATAAAAGTATAGATATATAACAAATGATATTGCTCATGAGGAAGTTGGACTTGCCCTCCAACATCTATGACTCCCAGTCCAATGAGTTTCTACCCTGCATCCAGGCAGCTAGAATAACTGGGAATTAAAAATTCACAGACATGAAGAAAAGTGTGTCATTCTTTGAACTTCAAGAAATTATATGACTTTTTAAGTCATTATTTCACACTGGTGGTATTTCGCAAATAATAAGTTTAATTTGTATTTATATAATCAAAACCTAATTTCCACATTTTGGCTGATTTCTTTTTTTTTCTACGTATTTTAACACATCCTAGTATCTCACTTTCTGGACTTGTTCACTCTTCACTATCCTGTAATTCTCATTTCAGTAATTAGCACTTTTAAATCGCTAACTTTTAAAAAATAAAATAATTATTTATAGCAATTATTTTATTTTCTAAATATATATGCATAGCTAGAAAAGACACCATCTAGAGATTTCTCAAGTACAGGTAATAAAGATGCTGTCAGGATGCAGGAACTTTTCAAGCCTCTGAAATTCGACTGGGAAACTCTAACACTAAGCATGTGCTTTTTGCTTCCCAGGACCCAGGGACACCCCAGCTGTGAGCAAATAGAAAATTTAGGAGTTGAGTTTCAATAACAGTCCTCTTGATTTCACAAGTACAAAAATACACATCATCTCCAAAGAAAACCACCACATATGGTCTTCATTTAGTTTGTGCATCAGAACATACAAGGTCAGAATATTAACACTAGCAATCATTGTATTTCATTAAAAGGTTCACCTTCAGAAGAAACAGAAAACTTTTAAAAAGTTTTGGCTCTACTCAATAAGAGATGAAACAAAACTTGATTTAATGTTCCTCTTTAATTAAAACATCCTTCATTTGATTTCCTGGGGTCAGATGAGAACAATTTGGCTTAATGCTAAAGCGATCTTAAATGAATTGGAGGATAAATACTTTCACCTTTATGTTTAGAGAAAAAGAATCTAATCCAAGTTCAATGCTTCGTTCTGACTTTCAATATTTTTAATAATCTGGCCTCATCTATTCTTTCTGCCCTTCTCTGCCATTATTATCCACTATTAAATCTCCAATCTAGTCAGGCACAATTCCACAGTCATTTAAATAAGGGATTGGCACATTGTGGGCCACTGGCCAAATCTAGTTCATTGACAATTTATGCATAGTCCTCCAGCTAAGAGTGTATTTTTTAAAACACTTTTATATGGCTGGGAAAAAAAAGAAGAAAAAATATACGACAGAGGCTATGTGTTGCCTACAAAGCCTACAATATTTATTATCTGGCTCTTTACCTAATATGCATATCCCTGTCTTCATTATTGTCCTTTCTCGGAAACCATGGTCTTCCTCTCCATGTTTCTGCCAAGTTATGTATCACCATCCTTTAAGACCAAATTTTATTCCTCACCTCAAATAATCAGTAAGGTATAGTCTGCCTATATCAGTCTAGGACTGGTATATATTAATCTTGGTTCTGAAAAAAAAATTGTAAGGTCCTGAATGGGCTAGAAATGTGCCTTGATGAAGCAAACAACAAGAATATAATATAATAAGATTTACTAGTGAGTACTTATTTACTGCCTATTGAAAGCATGCCCTTGCAATCTTTATAAAGTGATTTTATATATATTTAACCTTTTTCTTGTCTACTTAGGGGCTAAAGACATCCTCCTTTCTAGCCTAAGGCACTCAAAAATGATAAATAATCTCAAGAAAATGTTAAATCTATCATCTCTCCAGTTCTTGAAGAACCTATTGAGCATAATGGAATGTTTACATATAGGATATTAATTCAAGGCTTTACCTTAGTGGATAGTTTCTTTTTCTATTTGTATTAATAAAGAAAAGGACATGGCATTGATAACAGAAACAAATAGTTTTTATTTCATTCATTCTCAATAGCTTGTGTTACATTGAGTTTAACTTTTTATTTCAAGTTGTTCTTCTTATATATTGCACTGATGGTAATACTAAAATAATATTACATTCATTGCTTGCATTTTCTCTTGTCAAGAGATTTGTAAAGCAAGCAAAAAGACTGGAAACAGTTTTTCTACATTTATATGTTTTTTTTCATAGTTTGGAGGCAATATAGCATAATTATTAAGAGTAGAAAATTGAAAGCTAAACAGCCTATCATTAAATCCTAGCTTTTCTAATTATTAGCTTATAACTTTGGGAGATTAATCAGCCTGTCTTGGTATCAGTTTCTTTTTCTGTATTTTGAAGATAATAGTGCTGCCTACATCACAAGGAGATTACAAGGAGTAAAAAAATTAATATTTGCATAATCCATGAAACAGTGTCACTTCTGTATACAAAAGATAGATTAATAATCAAATATACATCTCCAAAAATAAGATTTAATTAGTACTTTTTGAAGAGCATAAATAGCATTTTAACAACCCAAATAATTCACCCATTTGGCATATCATAATATTGGTAAAATTATCTTATTATAGCTTCTGTTTCAATTATTTAAATTAATTAATTTTTAAGGGTGTAAGTTCAATATTTTCACAAATGTTACTCTTCTAAATTGTATTACGTTGTGGGGGGACAAAAACAAGACTAGAAATGATAAATTAAATGTGTATTAATATTATAAGATAGATGATTTATCATTTTTGGTGTTCAAAACAGAATCTACCCCCTTAACTGATAAAAACTCATGGCATAAACTTTATCAAACCTGCTAATCTTTCTTAAGTTGCTTCTTCATCTGAATATTGAGAAAATGAACTATGTAGTATGCGTGAGAAGCCCTAAATTATAAACCACATCTGAATTACAAATTCTGATTATGCAATAAAACAGCTTTGTGTTCACAGACATGCCACTTGAACTGGGCTACTATTTCTTCAGTTGTGAAATAGACTCTGATATCGTTTGGCTGTGTCCCCACCAAATCTCATCTTGAATTGTAGCTCCCATAATTCCCATGTGTTGTGGCAGGGACCCAGTGAATGATAATTGAATCATGGGGGCGGTTTCCCTCATGCTGTTCTCATGCTAGAAAGTAAGTCTCATGAGATATGATGGGTTTATAAGGGGAAAGCCCTTTCGCTTGATTCTCTCATTCTCTCTGGTCTGACACCATGTTAGACTTGTCTTTTGCCTTCCACCATGATTGTGAGTCCTCCCCAGCCACAAGGAACTGTGAGTCCATTAAACCTCTTTTTCTTTATAAATTACTCAGCCTTGGGTAGGTCTTTATTAGAAGCATGAACATAGACTAATACAGATGCTAATCAGACTGCAATATAACACTGATGTTGTAAGAATATCAGAGAAGAACATCTCCCATAGAGGTTATTGGAAGTAGGCCTGACATTAAAGATAAGGAAAGTGAGCATAACTGCCATGTTTCTTTCTTACAAAATCAGAGAGAATTTAAAAACAAGTTTCTCATAGGTGGGCAAATGCATTATGTAAGAAAGATAGTGAAAGCAATTACACAGTAACTAGAAGGGCCACTACCAGGAAAAACACAGTTAGGGATTCCGTATGCAAAAATCAACTCAAGATGAATTAAACGCTTAAATATGAAACCATAAAACTATAAAAACCCTGGAAGACATCCTAGGAAATACCATTCTGGACATGGGATGTTGGCAAAGGTTTCATGATGAACACACCAAATGCAATTGGAAGAAGAAAAATTCACAAATGGAATCTAATTAAACTAAAGAGCTTCTGCACAGCAAAGGAAATTATCCACAGAGTAATCAAACACTCTACAAAGTGGAAGAAAAAATTTGCAAACTGTGCATCTGACAAATGTCTAATATCCAGAATCTATAAGCAATTTATATCATTAGATAAATGCACATCAAATCTACAATTAGATACCATCTCACACCAGTCAGAATGGTTATTATAAAAGGTAAAAAAAAATAACAGATGCTGGCATGGTTGTAGAGAAAAGAAAATGTTTATACACTGATGGTGGGAGTGTAAGTTAGTTCAGCCATTGTGGAAAGCAGTGTGGCAATTCCTCAAAGAATTTAAAACAGAATTACCATTCAACCCAGCAGTCCTGTATCTGGGTATATACCCAAAATAATATAAATAGCTCTACCAGAAGGACACATGCACACAAATGTTCACTGCAGCACTATTTGCAATAGCAAAGACATGGAATCAACCTAAATGCTCATCAATGGTAGACTAGATAAAGAAAATGAAGTACATATACACAATGGAATACTATGTAGCTATAACAAAGCATGTCTTTTGCAGCATCATTGAAGGAGCTGGAGGCTATTATCCTAAGCAAACTAATGCAGGAACAGAAAACCAAATACCACGTTTTCACTTATAAGTGGGAGCTAAACAACAAGAACACTTGGATACAAAGAGGGGAACAACAGAGACTGGGGCCCACTTGAGAGTGGAGAGCAGGAGGAGGGAGAGGATCAGAAAAGATATCTATCTATAAGGTACTATGCTTACTACCTGAAACATAAGGTCCCAAATGGGCTAGAATTGTGCCACAGTGAAGCAAACAACCAGAATATAATAATATAATAAGATTTACTAGTGAGTACTTACATACTGCCCTTTAAAATCATGCCCTTGCAATTTATATATACATAGATACACTTTTATATATATGTGTGTGTGTGTGTGTGTGTATATATATATATATATATCGAGAGAGAGGTTATATGTATATGAAATAAGTTTATATTTATATTTTATATACATATACATCATTTCATATACATATAACCTCTTCCTTTTCTACTTAGGGACTAAAGACATCCTCCTTTCTAGCCTGAAGGCACTCAAAAATGATGAATAATCTCAAGAAAATGTCAAATCTATCATCTCTCCAGTTCTTGAAGAAGGTATTATGCACATTGGAATGTGTACATAGAGGATATCAATTCAAGGCTTTTTTGGTGTACAGAAAAATCTGCAGGCCAAACCCACACAACATGGAGTTGATCTATAGAACAAATCTCTGCATCTGCACCCCTTAACCTAAAACAAAAGTTATAATAAAAAATAGGGGTTCTTTGAAAAGAACATAGTTGAAATGAAAATTGTTGGTCACTTCCAAGGCATAGAGCTCAAAGTGGAAGATGAAAGGCTAAACATAAAAATAAATGTAACTCAAGGTTATGCCTACATTCCCAGTTAAAGGAATACAAATGTCAGTGAGTCAGGAGAAGAAAAATAATTTTTCAGACATACCTGTCTAGCCACTTACATCTGTTTTAATCAGTCGGTTAATAGAAAGCTCAGAACAATCACATTTTTAATTTACTTATGCATACATTTATACAACAAAAATTTTAATGGCAATATATTCTCATAACTTTTTTAATTTTTTTGCTGTCATCAAATTGTTCACTTTCTTTTCTAGACTATTCTTGGTTTTGGAAACACTTTATCTCCTTCACATCTCTACCTGATAAATTTTGCTTTTAAGCTCTCTTCTGTTTTTTAGAATTACTTCTATTTCCTCTGAAGTAACTTGTTTGGTTTCTTCATCTTGGTTACCTTGATTTCCCTACTTCCTTCGTTTGCATGAATAAAGTCCTCTATTGGAATAGGCCATCTGCATGATTTATTGCGAATCTCTGAGAACCCTTGAATAAGCAGCCTCAAGAAGGATTCAGTGAAAAGGATTCAGGAGCTATCAATAGCAGGATTTCTTACAGATGGGTTAGTTGGGGGATCGATATTTGCCATATTTAAGGAGCTTTACTCTGGAAATGAGCAGTTTAAAATACTTCTACTTAGGACTGCCTTTATAGTCTTGCTTTACCCTCTTTGAGAATTGCTTCGCATGCTGCTCACTTCCCACTCATGACCCAGCAGGACAGGTGCTCACTTTCTGTAGTGAATTGCCTTTGCAATTAGCCTAAGAACACAAATCATTGCTGATGTTGAGTCCTCTTGGAGAGAGAAAGGGAGATTGTTGATGAATTTTAACACTTCCTAGAACTGATCTGGAAATTGCTGCAATTAATACTTGTTTCTTAGGATGTAGCCTCATCTGCGTCTTCAATTTAGTCTGATAAATTCTTCTTTCTATATTTTAGAAGGTTCTCACATTTTGTGATAGCTAGCTTTAGTTTCCCAGGTCCTTTTACATTCTCCAATATTTGTTAGACTTTGGATGAATAAAGAGGTAGATTAAATTCTTGGTTGGTAGAGTTCTTCAAAGAAATAGAAGCAATAGGATATATATATCCTATTTGAAACATTTTATAAATATATAAATATTTTAAATATTTATATAATATAGAAATATATTTCAAATATGTCAAATAATCAAATAATTGAAATATTATATGTATATATAAAAAATATTTCAAATTCATACCTCAACCTTCAAACTCAGACTAGGACTACACCACCTCTTCTTCTGGGTATCCAAGTTGCAGGCAGCAAATCATGGGACTTCTCAGCCTCCACAAATGTATGAGCCAATTCCTTATAATAAAGCATATAACTTATTATATATCATAAAGCAAAATTAAACTATATATAATAAAACAAAATAACATATATAGGTTTTTATATATACACTTGAATATATGTAGTTTTATTCTGGAAATGAAGCAGTTTAAAATTTTTTTTTATATTTAGGAATGCCTATTTAGTTCTTCTTTATTATATTTATAGATTAGTTTTGCTACTCATTTAATAAACATTTGAGAAAGTAGTATTTACATCTTCTAATATGGTTGTGAGTTGGTCTATTTCTTTTTATTTTCTTTAATTAAAAAATAAATTTTGAAAACTATGCTATTGGGATGAATATTGGACTAAAATCTTCCTGATACATTGTTTGCTGTCATTATTAAATATCCCTCTTTATTTGTAGTAGTAGTTCTTGCCTTATATACTACATTGTCCAGTATTCTATTTTGACTAATATTCTACCATCTAGCATTACTAAACTGCTATAGTTGATCTATTAAGTTACATAGCTTCTTTCATCTTTTTTCTTGGTTTAATTAGGATTAATAATATATTTTACATTTTTCCTTTATTAATTTTTAAATTATATTTTACTCTTTTTCTAGTGATTACCTTAATGATGATAGTTTAATGCTTGCCTTATTACTATATGATAAAAATATTTATTTTAACCACTCAGATTATACTAGAACTTCAGAGCATTTAAAAATATTTTCCTCCATCAGGGCATGGTGGCTCACGCCTGTAATCCCAGCACTTTGGGAGGCCAAGGCAGGTGGATCACAAGGTCAAGAGATGGAGACCATCCTGGCCAACATGGTGAAACCCTGTCTCTACTAAAAATATAAAAATTAGCTGGGCGTGGTGGCAGGCACCTGTAGTCCCAGCTGCCAGGGAGGCTGAGGCAGGAGAATTGCTTGAACCCAGGAGGTGGAGGTTGCAGTGAGCCGAGATTGCGCCACTGCACTCCAGCCTGGTGACAGAGTGAGGCTCCGTCTCAAAATAAATAAATTAATTAAATTAAATAGAAAAATATTTTCCTCCTTCTTTCATTTTGGATTATGTTCATTTGCATATATTTTATAACCCAATATTACAATAATTATTTCTGATAGTTGGTATTTGTTTATATATACTATTTTAATTTTTTCTAGAAGGATCTATTTTGTTGGGTATAGAGTCCTAGTTTGGGGCACTTACCTAAATGAATTTTGTAGTTTATTTAGTTTTCTAGATGTTCTCAGATATAATTTGATTGGTCTGCCCAAAGCACTCCATCTTATTTGGAAATGATAATTGGAGCACATTATTTTACCTTCCATTTATAATTTCAATAGAAGAAGAAAAGAAGTATCTGCTTTTTGCAATTTAATCCACCATCATCCTTTACATAATTATTTTCCCCTGAAAGGATAACTATCACCCTTGTTTCCTGGAAAAACTGTTTTACTGCATTTCTTGAAATACATTTTTTCAATTATGATTTACACCTAGTTACTTTTCTATATATGCATGATAATGATTTTTACAGTTGTTATTTTATATTTGGCAAACTTTCTGATGTACTATATTAATTTTGTGAATTTCTTAGTTAATTCCTTTAGGATTTTAAATTTTGCCATAGTATTTACACATTTTATCCTTAAAGTAAGTATAGCTTTAAAGTTATTACTCATTTTTATCTTTCAGTTTATTCAAATAACTTTTAAATCGTAAAATGTTCTCTTAAAGTTATTTCAAGACTATTAGCACCTTTTTTTCCCCTGTGGCTCTTCTACATATATTTTTAAGAGATTTTAGATTTTTATTACTGGTAAATAAGAAAATGTTTATTTTTTGTATACTTATAAGTGCATTAATTCTATATATTGTTTTTGCTGATTGTCATAAGTTTTATAAGTAGATAATCATATCATTGACAAATACTGTTTATGTTTATGAATTTTTATATCATGTGATTCAGCACAAAAATATTCATTGCTATGAATAGAGTCACTGTCTTCACAGCATTTTTACTATATGTTCATTTTTTGACCATTAAATTGTATCTTTTTACACAAAATTCTGATTTATACCATTTAAATATTTAGTGAAATAATATTACTTATGACCATATTATTTCATTCTTGAAAATGTAATTTAATCTAAGAGTGAAGTAGAATACTTTAAATAATGTTTTGTTTGGCAGAATGGGTAATTTTTAATAACATTTCCAGAAGTACACTTATTTTTAAATTTTGAGATAAATCTTCAAAATGTTGTGTTGCATGAAGTCAGGGACCCCGAATGGAGGCACCAGCTGGAGCAGTGGCAGAGGAACAAAAATTGTGAAGATTTCATGGACATTTATCAGTTCCCAAAATTAATACTTTTATAATTTCTTATGCCTGTCTTTACTGCAATCTCTGAACATAAATTGTGAAGATTTCATGGACATTTATGCTGCCCAAAGAAGACTCTTGCAACCCACTGGTCAGGTGGGTGGTGGGTGAGGCCCACAGAACAAGTTTGCTCTCTAGCCAATAGCCAACACTTAGCCAGTATCAACCACAGTAGATGCTGGGTCTTAACTCTCTACTCTTGTGTAGGTTCATAAAGAGCTATTCTGAGAGACCTGCTTCATGCATGCTGGGTCTTTGACCATCACTACATGGTGACAGGACACAAAGATGACCTGATTCACCTAGGCCCAAGTAATTGTCTGTGGCCATGGCCACAGGTCCTGGGCCAATGCCATGAACTTTGACTTCTACTCCTGAGGGTGGAGTGGGTAGGCTGAATGGGCAGCAGCATCCAGTGAAAACAGGAACCGTGTATGGAGAGGAAGAGGAGGAGCCTGAAAATCCAGACACAGGCTTGAGAGTTCCTCCTCTTTCCACTGGCCAAGTGCAGCTCCATCACCAACCTCTTCAGCCCCACTGGCCTGCACATGCACTGTCTATAGGGCCTCACTGAAGAAGTGCTTACCTACACCCACCCTTGTCCCGCACCAAACCCTCACCTGCATCCTCACCTGCATTCCTAGCCTCCAGCCACCAACAGCTCCCAGGGTGATGACTCCCACCTAGGCACCTGTCCCACTCACTGCCTGACTCTAATGGCCTTCTGAATGTGGTGGGCAGTGGCAAGGTGCTAAGGCTGAGCCAGCATCTTATTCTTCCTTGACTTGTGCAACAATAGCCTGGGTGGGGGCAGCAAGGACAAGATAAGGAGTTGGACACAGCTTTTAGCCAGGGCATCGTGATGTGTTGCTGCTAGAGCCCTGGGGCAAAAAAAAAGAAATGATCATCCAGGAGCAGCTCACAGTTTTCTTCTTGAAAAGCTGCATCATTGCCACTTGCCTATAGGGTTGGGTTTCCCCATCTGCAGCTGGAATTGGTTAGACAAAGCCTTCACAGATGAGGAAACAGAAGTCCAGGTAGGGGAAGAAAGTTGGCTAAGGTCAGCCAGCAAGTCAATGTAGAGCAAGCAAGTAGGCAACTACCAAAGCCACAGTGGAGAGAAACCTCAGGTGTGAGGTCCTCCACTCTATTTGTTAACCTCCTAAACTTAAACCTCTCTGCTGACCACACTGATCAATCTATTAGCAAGACTGAGAATGTTCAATGAACTGCTCAGGTCCCAGCCCTGTATACATTTGATCGATGGGAGGAAGGTCCCCCAGACTGGCCCAGAGAGACATAGGAGGTACGCAGCAGCAATACAGCTTCAGCTTGTCCCTACTCCCTACGAGGACCTCTTCCTTTCCTGCATCACTGTTTTCTTCCCTGTCTCCAGCATGTGACTGGCCACACCTGAGGGAGAAATTTTCCACCCACAAGAGCGCCATCTCTCTGCAGTGTGCCCCTCTCTCTCTCCACTGGGCAGGGAAAGGGGTGGTTCATGTTTCACCTGGCGTCCATCTCTCCTTTAGGTACTATTGCCTGTGCTTTCAAAAAGTGTTAGCTATAAAACCCCATCTGAGTCCTCCCTGTTTCCTGTTCCTCTTATTTATATTAAAGTGTCCTGTTTTTTGGAATTGTATTTGTCATGTGAGTTTCCTCTGACTTTTCAGGGTGATGTGTCCTGTCCTTATGCTCCACGTTCTCATACACACTTACTTTTTCAGGCATCTGCCAGTAGATTAAGTGATTGATATACCTTCAAAAGAGCTCATATTCCACTGGGTTGCTGACAGTATCTATGCTGCAGCTAAAGAGAAGCTTGATGTCAACAGGTCATGTGAATATTTATGTTTAAGAGCCATTCACATTGACTAGCTCCTTAAGACTGAGGATAGATTTTCTAACTCCCTCTTTCCATTCTCAATACCAATAAAATGCATGAAAAAAACCCGAGAAACATATGGCATTCTAGAACTCTTATAATTCTTTTCTCTCTTGTCTAAAAATATTACTTATGAAAAATAAACACCCACATTCATCCTGAACTTTACCCTTATTCGTAATCTCAACATCCAACAGCTTGCCAATCCCTTCATAATATTTCTACACCTCTCAAACATATTTGTATATAAATCTCATATCAATTCTCTCATCAATAAGTTAGTCCTCACCTTGACCCCTGCCAGCTATTCTCCTTGCCTATGTTTATATTCTTCTGCAATTTATCTTCTCCACGAGGCACAGGACATATTCATTTGAAAAATCAACTCATATCTGTTATTTATTTGCTGAATATCCTTCACAGGCCCAACTAGTGACCTACTAAACTAGATAAAATGGCACAGGAAATGAAAAAGTACTATCAATAAAGTCTCATCTCTTCTTCTAAAGTATTGATATATACCTATTTACACATAAGAATTACTCGCTTAGGCTTTTACACTATTTACGCTACAATGATAGTGCTAAAAAGTAGATGGATTTGGAGTATTAAATCTTATAATCTCCATTAACCCTCCAATTACAATCCCCAAAAATATACAATATATGTAAATACAGTGTAATTGCTTTTCTCAAGTAGCTTCAAAATGAAGCTGTAATTCCCTCCTTGAAGCCAAATTGCCAACCTGAGAAAACTCAGAACCTCAGATTGTTAAATCCCACAAAAACTGGAGCTCTTCACCAGTACCAAAGCTGACTAACAATTTCAAAATTGAAGAGATAACAGTAATTGTGATCCATAGAGGAAGCATGAAGTACAGAACTACCATCTTTGCTCCTCAGGTTGTTTCTTGTTGTATTATGATGTACTATGGTTTGGTTTTAGCATACATGACCCTAAGGGATGAATGCAGAGTATCATTTACACAAAAGGGAGCTATTTTTTTCATGAAATATTTACAACTTACATGCTGATAATTGCATAGTTTATATCATATTTTATAAGCAGTTACACAATAAATCTTAAAATGTGATGTTTATTTTCTACAAGCAGTCGTGAACAGGCTAGGTACATATGGCAAAAGCATTACAAATATAAGAATTCTGCCACCACTAAGTGCCACGTATGTGTGTTTACCAGGAAGACTGTTATTAGTATGTTTGCAAAGGGATTGGACCAGATCTTTTTCCTTTTGTGCAGCATCCCCACAGGTAAAGAGGGATCACATAGACCTGCTTCAAATATTTCCTTTCTCACATGACAATCTCAAATTTCCATAATATCTGTGATTCATTATAATTGATTTTTCACTTATGCGTACTACCTGTCCACCTCACTGTCAATAATTATGATATACTTAAAATTTTATAATGTATCTCTTTGTATAAATGTATAACTTAATGATTATTAGAAATAAAAATTTAACTAGCCTGAGTGACAGAGGATAAAAGTATACCACAGCTTTCCTGATTTTTATATAGATATCTACTCTTATTTCAGGTCTACTTTGGGATTTATACAAATAGAGTAAAGATGATGATAAAAATTTATAATTACATGGATCATTTGGTTTTCACTTATATTCACATATTTTAAAAGGGAACCACCTAAGTTAAAGAGGAAAGCTGCCTTTAAAATAGCATGTTTACAGGAACAAAAGCTATGCTTTAATATCAATTAGTGTTTATGTTGTTGTGATACCTAGCTTCTCTTTGTTTTGTCTAACACATGTGTCCCTGATTTATTACGTGAATCAGGTAGGAATAACTTTGTGTACTAAAGGTAAGATCTACATAGATCTTGTACTTTTCTTACTGTTTTGTCCTTAGTCAAAACAAAAACTGATGATATTTGATTTAAAATATTTTGAGTAAGAAAACTTTATCTTCTAAGAAACCCTGTGTTCCAATGAAACATTACTAAGAAAAAGGAAATATCCATTGATTTGGTAACTTCCTTGTTAATTTAAAAAAATTAATTTTTTCTTTCCTAAAACATCCTGCTGATATGGTTTGACTGTGTCTCCACCTAAATCTCATCTTGAATTGTAGCTCCCATAAGTCCCACACGTTGTGGGAGGGATCCAGTAGGAGATAATTGAATCAAGGGGCGGTTTACCCCATACGGTTCTCTTGGCAGTGAAAGAGTCTCACAAGATCTGATGGTTTTATGAAGGGAAACCTCATTCACTTGGCTCTTATTCTCTCTTGTCTGTTGCCATGTAAGATGTAACTTTTGCCTTCTACCATGGTCATGAGGCCTCCCTACTCACGTGGATCTGTGAGTCTATTAAACCTCTTTTCTTTATAAATTACTCAGACCTGGGTGTGTCTTTATCAGCAGTGTGAAAATGGAATAATACAGTAAATTGGTACCAGGAGTGGGGTGCGGCTGATGAGATACCCGAAATGTGGAAATAATTTTGGAACTGGGTAACAGGCAGAGGTTGGAACAGTTTGGAGGGCTCAGAAGGAGACAAGGAAATGTGGGAAAGTTTGGAACTTCCTAGAGACTTGTTGAATGGCTTTAACAAAAGTGCTGATAATGATCTGGACAATGAAATCCAGGCTGAGGTAGTCTCAGATGTAGATGAGGAACTTCTTGTGAACTGGAGTAAAAATTACTTTTGCTATGTTTTAGCAAAGAGACTGGCAGAAGAAATTTCTAACCAGAAAAGCATTGAAGAGGTGACTTGGGTGCTGTTAAAACCATTCAGTTTTAAAAGGGGAAAAGAGCATAAAAGTTCATAAAATTTGCAGGCTGACAATGCAATAGAAAAGAAAAACCCATTTTCTGAGAAGAAATTCAAGCTGACTGCATAAATTTGCATAACCAACAAGGAGCCAAATGTTAATCTCCAAGACAATGAGAAAAATGTCTCCAGGGCATGTCAGAGACCTCTGCGGCAGCCCCTCCCATCATAGCCCAGGAGGCCTAGGAGGAAGAAATGGTTTCTTGGGCCAGGCCCCTGCTGTGTGCATCCTAGGGACTTGGTGCCTTGCGTCCCAGCTGCTCTAGCCATGGCTAAAAGGGGTCAGGTACAGCTCTGGCTGTGCAAGCCCCAAGCCTCTGCAGCTTCCACGTGGTGTTGAGCCTTTGGGTACACAAAAGTCAAAAATTGAGGTTTGGGAATCTCTGCCTACATTTCAGAGGATGTATGGAAATCCCTGGATGTCCAGGCAGAAGTCTGCTGCAGAGGTGGGGGCCCTCATGGAGGAGAACCTCTACTAGGGCAGTGCAGAAGAGAAATGTGGGATTGAATCCCTCACACAGAATCTCAACTGGAACACTGCCCAATGGAATTGTGAGAAGAGGGCCACTGTCCTCCAGACTTCAGAATGGTAGATCCACCAAGAGCTTGCATCGTGCATGTGGAAAAGCCACAGACACTCAATGCTGGTCCGTGAAAGCTGCCAGGAAGTGGGCAGTACCCTGCAAAGCCACAGAGTCTGAGCTGCCCAAGACTATGGGAACCCCCCTTTTGCATCAGTGTGACATGGATGTGAGACATAGAATCAAAGGAAATCATTTTGGAGTTGTAATATTTGGCTGCCCCATTGGACTTTGGACTTGCATGGGGCCTGTAGCCCCTTTGCTTTGGCCAACTTTTCCCATTTGGAATGGGTGTATTTACCCAAGGCCTGTACCCACATTGTATATAGGAGGTAACTAACTTGCTTTTGATTTTACAGGCTCATAGGCAGAAGGGACTTGCCTTGTCTCAGATGAGACTTTGGACTGTGGACCTTTGAGTTAATGCTGAAATGAGTTAACACTTTGGGGGACTGTTGGGAAGGCTGGTTGGTTGGTTTTGAAATGTGAGGACATGAGATTGGGGAGGGGCCATGGGCAGAGTGATATGGTTTAGCTGTGTCCCCACCAAAATCTCATCTTGATTTGTAGCTCCCATAATTCTCACTTGTGGGAGGTAATTGAATCATGGGGACTGTTTCCCCATACTGTTCTCATGGTAGTGAATAAGTCCCACAAAATCTGATAAGTTTATAAGGGTTTGAAACCCCTTTTGCTTGGCTCTTGATTTCCTTTGTCTGCCACAATGTAAGATGTGACTTTCTCCTTTTGCCACAATTGTGAGGCCTCCACAGCCACGTGGAACTGTGAGTCCATTAAACCTCTTTCCTTCATAAATTACCTAGTCTTGAGTATGTCTTTATCAGCAGTGTGAAAATGGACTAAAACACCTGTTAGTTACTGCTTTGTATATTCTGTCACATTTTGAATACTACATTTGCCAAGAACTTGTAATGTTTGTAGAAAAATTTTTTCCATGTTGTTTAATATTTTATACTACCTTATAGAATTATTTCCTAAACTACTATTCATCCTTATGATTACATCTTAATTCACAGCTTTTTTGTTAAATTAATTTGGATTGATACTGATATCATATATATAAATACACACACACATATTTGTGTGTATATATGTATATAAACATATGTATATATATTACAAACCCATTTAGTAAATCATTTTATTGAACAGAAAGCAACTATTGGATTTCAATATCCAATCAATAGTTTTGTCTAATGGAATGGAACATTCTTTGGCAAATGTTCAAAGTGAAACATTGTTTTTCTTTGAAGACTGTATTCTGTTTCCATAGCAGTACAGAAGTACAGGATACCGTATATAGTTTTACTTTTGGTTGGCACTGATTCTTCCTGAATTTTTTGTTGCTCTTATCTTAATATACTGGATCTTGGTTAATTTGCAATGAAAATGGTTTTGCTCATTTAGACTCATAAACATTAGCTTAGTGTATTTTTCAAGTCACAATTTAATAATGTTTAGTCTATGTGCCTGTTTAACAAAGAACAATCTCCGGAAAATAACTTAATATTTATTGTGGAGCCTTATACATAAGTACCATGACTCATCAAATTTGTTCCTAGTCTTCTTAATATTGGAACTGCATAAACCAATTAGGTAAATAATTAAGCACGACCTTTTTGTTAGGTACCATTAACAAACCTGAGGGTGGAGTGCAAGAGAGAGGGAGAGGGAGGAACAAAAAAATATAAAGAGAGAGAGAGAGAAAGGAAGAATAATATGTAGCAAATTTAAAAATGAACATACAAGGGAAAGACAAGAGAAAAATAAAATTTCCTATATAATTTGTAAAGAAAACCAAGCTATGACTAAAAGCTCAAAAAAAAAAAAAAAAAATTCAGACACAATAACCAGCAAGTTTCCTTTTTTTCTGGCTAATTGTCCTTGCTGAACTTATATAGAGAAAAACTATTTTTCTGTTTCTGCACAGATGGCATAAGAGTAAAAAAGTAGGCAATGTTACTAGATGTGATGTCTAGGATTTTCAACATAGAGTATCTGTCTTCTGCAAATGAGTAATATATCCCTGATGGGTTCACATGGATGATAAATTATATCACTTGAATCAGCTAACAGATGCACCTATTCATTTTAAAACTTAATACAAGTTAAAAAATGCAAGTGGAGCTAACTTTTAGTAATTCAGCAGCTTAGTACACCTTTGAGACAATATGAAATGATTGAAAAGGAAAAGTAAATCTCATATGGTAATGTATTTTTGAAACCTCTTGTTTTTTCAACATCATAATTTTGCATAACAGCAAAATTCCCATTTTGTTAAGATATTTATAAGCCCTTAAATTTTTCCCAGTGTCTTCTATCTAAAAGAATTACCTGACGCTTTGCAAATGGCATGGTATTTGGTTTAACCGTTTTTCAAATGATGTTATCCTTAGGTTGGACAATACAAAATTCTCTACCAATTTTATTTTAATGCAGTGAAGACTAACATCACTTTTAAACCACACCAGGACTTTTACTGGATAGAATGGTATCATCTGTTTTGGAGTGTAGCCAGAACACTGAAGCTAAAATTATTCTATAAGCTGAAAATAATATTAATTTATCTTCCTAAAGGAGTATAATTATTTGTTATTTTATTAATTATTAGTCAAACTAGCACATTCCAACTAGAAGAGAGAAGCAGATGTATTATTCAATATTATCCAGACCACACCTGTATTTTTTGTTTTTTGTTGCACCTAAATGTTCTTAAAAACACATTTTAGAAATCAAAATCTGTAAATAGCTTCTCTGATGACAAGTATATTTTGTAAACAGTGGTAAAGTCATTAATTAAAAGTATATACTCTTTTATAGCATAAAAACTATGACAGATGATTCTTTTTTTTTTTTGTCTTTTCCAACTTGGGCCAACAAATAAAATTTGGTCATTTAATGTTCATAGCTTTTTCGAACTTATAGATGAACTAAGCAGAGGTTGACGCAATCATGGCATTTTACCACCAACATCTACTGTATCTCCGGGTAACTATGTTGAATTCATGATGAGATCCATCTACTTTTTTACCTCTGTAGATTGATAAAATCTTAACACTTAATGGGTGTGCAGCTTGGGAAGGCCTATTAGAAATATACAGGATCAGCTAAATTAAAATACATTGATTCTAACCTCTTTTTCCTGGACTGATTAAGTGTCACATTTTCTTTCACTTATATTAAGGCTTTTAACATTTCAGCACCAGTAATCCACTGACATATCTTTCTCACAAAGTTATCTATAAGACCTTTGGACACATGCCCTTTAAGATTATGTCTTTCCCTACATAAGCAATAAAAATTAACATTTTTCTAGTGATGAGACTTTTACTACCACCATGTTGGAATACATTTCATATTAATTATTTGTGAAACTAGAGTCATTTTTAAACTAGATAAAACATGTTCTCTTTTCAATTAAAAAACCGTTTTTCAATTTTCTACATCCTATGTTCACATTGCAGAATATACACAGAACCACATTCTGCGAGTTACATGCTGATTATTATAGTCTTATTATACATGCCTATTAAATTTGTTTCTTCACATAAAATATACTATAATATGATCACAGCAAGTCTCCTTGGTATCCTCAGATTATATAATAATTTTTACATGCAATATTCTGATTCCTCAAATTTGAGAGAATGTTTCTGACAGGATTATAGCTACATTCAACTGATAGAGAGTCAGATGTATGCTTTTTGCAGAGAAGCTATCTCATTTATGTCAATTCTTACAGGAACAGCAGACATTTCTACCCATAGTGAACTAAGGACAGTAGTTGGTTAGTGCTCACTGACAAGAATGAGAAAACCTTATTGGAAGCCATTTCGATTTCTTTGCTTCCCTTTTGTGTGGACAGAAAAATCTAATTTAGGAGCTAGAAGTAAATGATTCCTTGTCATTTTATTTCCTGATTCATCATCTTATATTAGATAGACTTAGAGTTATATTCAGAATGATATTATGTAACCCAATGAAGCACAGCATAACCTGTCATAACCTAATATAATAAGATGTGATGTATTGGAAATCATTAAAGCAATCACTTCATTTCAAGTTGGATACCTACTATTGATTCATGTGGATTCTTATCCTGAATTAATTTTGGTAAGAGCGAAACAATGTTATTAGGATGAAAACTCCTCTCACCTATTTTTTTTATTGTCTCTTGTGCAGGACTTTTTATTTTAATTTTTAAATAGACATTTTAAAGTAATGTAGCAAAAAATCAGTAATGATAACCGTAGGTATATATATGCCTTATATAATTGTTATTTAGGGATTAATTTATTTAATGATTGTAGTTTTACTGGACTCGAGGACATGAGAAAATACGCCCACAGTAATAACTAAATGACAATAAAATAATAAATCTCTTTAAGAAAAAAAAGAAAGCACAGTAAAATTCTCCTGGCTAAATTTAAGTAAAGCCACTTACTATAAACTATTTAATATTGCATTTTATTGAAAAAATTTATATAAGCTATTAGACCCTTTAATGATACGAATGAGACTTAGCAAATTTTCCCATGAGGATTCTCCCATGTGGAATCAAAGTGCAAATGAGCTCTTAAAGTGTAGTAATATATTTCAAAGTTTACTCTTTTGTTCGATTCTACAATTTGCTTATTTTGCTTTTTGTTGGTTAATTTTTCTTTATTCCTCATGAAGGGAGAAGGCAGTAGCTGCCTCCCCTGCATATAACATATTTCCAGATGAAGAGAGGTGCTTCTTGAATTTCTGTAACCCTGAAAAGTAGTATATCCTTGTCAATTAACTCTTGTCACTCTTTTCAGTTATGTTCCTCTGAGGTCTTCAAAGACAAAGATACGTGCCGCATAATCATGAAGCCTAAAGTAGCACTGTGTCTTTTGGGGGTATATACTTAGAATTTCAAAGTTCTCTAAATTTCTCCAAAATAGGAATATGACAATTTTTAACACACAAAAATAGACTCTATGGTATGCATACATTATTCTTTATTCAATAAAATCAACCTATCAAAATAGAGCAAAATAGAGAGATGGATTTAAACTGTCCGGAATTATCTATTTAGCATAAACTATCCAGGGGTCAGCTTTTTAACATGACCTATTAAGTATTGTCTGAGTGGCTCACTGAGAATCACAAAGAAACACCTATAATTGTGGAAATTTCAAGGGTTTCTAGGCTTACTCTCAGGAACAGGGAACAAAGACCAGCCAATTTATTATTATTATTATTAGTAGTAGTAGTATTTTACAAATATTTACCAACTTTGAAAAATTGACGGAGTAATTAAACTTTCTTCTTCAGTTTCATCATTTGTAATATGGGGATACTTTTAGTACTTATGTCAAAGAGCTATTCTGAAGTTTAGATAAGTTAATGTAATTTATAGTTAATAAATATAAAGCAATTAGAATGGTGCCTAACACATATAAGCCTATTAAAGTATTAATAAATATTATATTTGTATTTTAGTGATAATAATGATTTTAATCACTTCCTAAAACAAATGCTTTCCCTTCATAGTCAAATACAAGTAAGATAACACAAGAAGTTCTCTTTTAGAGAAAGTGAATTTGATTTAATAAAATATCCTGAAAAGAATTTGCAATTTGTATCCTTAGAAAAAGTAATTATCACCTTAAGCAGAGTATTCATACATATATAAAAACATGTGTATATATATATAAGTTCTCTAAGTTTCTCCAAAATATATATATATTTATAAGCATCTATATTTTTCTATCTCTATGATTATAATAATAAAAATAAACTCTACCCAGATTAAAAACATCATAATAAATTGTATCACAGGCCAGTCACGGTGGCTCACACCTGTAATCCCAGCACTTTGGGAGGCCAAGGAGGGTGGATCACCTGAGGTCAGGAGTTCAAGACCAGCCTGACCAACCTGGCAAAACCCCGTCTCTACTAAAAATACAAAAATTAGCCAGGCGTCCTGGTGGGTGCATGTAATCCCAACTACTCAGGAGGCTAAGCCAGGAGAATCACTTCATTCAGCTCAGGAGGCAGAGGTTGCCATGAGCTGAGATTGTACACTCCAGCCTGGGTGACAGAGTGAGACTCTGTCTCTAAAAAAAAAATAAAAAATAAAATAAAATAAATAAAATAAAATAAATTGTACCACAGAGTGCGATACAATTACATCTAGATCAGGTGACTGGTTTTAAAGACATTTTATTACTATAATTTTACTCTAGATTAATTTTTTGGGGTTGGTTTAGGGGAAAATGATAAGAATATTAAGAATACTTGCCTTTTTAGTTGAATTAAGTATTTAACCATTGTAAAAATTTCCATGTAATTAGATCACACACAAAAGGTACTATTTTTGTGATTATTATTTAAAGCAACGTTTTACTTTTCCCTCACTTTTATATTACTTTTTTTTGGCACAGTTAACTTTAAAGATGTTATACAAAAATAAAAAAAAATTGTAACACATGACTGGGTGATTATGCCAAAATTAGAAATATTTAGTGTTTGTTTATATCTTGACAATGAAAACCATATGATATATAATTTGTTTTGACATTCCAATCTCACCAATATAGGAGGGCCAGAGTTCAGTAAGTTATTACCACTACAAACCAGAGGAAAATATTTCTAGTCTTATTTTTAAATTATGGAAAGATGTTCAAGCAGCTTCACTCTGTAAAGATTTCTTATCATCATTATATATTTTCTCATTTCCCAAACCATGCTCTCCCTATTAAACTTCAACAACTTGCTGCCTTTCTGCAACTCTGAAATGTGAGACTCTAAGGCCTTTTTTTTTTATTGTGTGTGCACGTGTGTGTGTATTTATCTAGTAACTTTGTTAATTCTGTTCTTTTTTTTTATTATTATTATTATACCTGTGGTTAGGATTCGGCGCTCTCACCGCCACGACCCGGGTTCAATTCCCGGTCAGGGAACCAAGAAATGGTCTGGATGAGCCAGGGACAAAACCCCTCAGACACCAGACACCGGATTCAAAAAGGCCTTTTTTAATCCTATTGTTTTATAGCTGGCAAAATTCTATCAATCCTGTTAATTTTTGAGTATTTCTATTTTCCTTAAAATTTATACGACTTTTATAGTTTATCTTTTTAGATAAACAGAAATGATATTCTCATTGCTTAGAGAAAAACTAAGTCTTGTTAACCTATGTCAGACTGCTTGAATAATGCACTTTCCAGCACACTTATGAAGTGAAGGTTAACAGTAATAAAGTTTCAAGCCTAAAATTTACCAGAGTTGTTTTCTTGAGTAAGATGTGTGTATTTCTATTTCTTACAACCTAAATAATTATTATGACTTTTATATTATTTTCTTTATGCTTTTTTATTTATTTTAACATTTTTAAAAGGATACAGAGGCTTCCAATATATGCTATTAATACCTGCTTTGTAATCTCTCATACGATCTCATTAAAATATTTATGAAAACACATAGATTCAGAGGTTCAAATGCCCAGGAAAACAGGCATATTAGTCAATTATGCCAGGAACACTGAGAACATTTTATTTAATAAAGTTGAAATTGTGGGCTCTGGCACAAAAGTGATGAAACCCAAGCAATGTTGTGTAGAAAATTTAAACTCTTACAACTTTCACATATTATCATTTTATCCAATGAGTGATGTTTTCCCAGTTGACCTGATGGGAAGCTTTTCACTAATGTTCACAAAATTTCCCAGGTAATTAGGTCTTTTTCACCCTGCACTACAACCCATTATTGCCTCTCTTCTACAAGAAATATGTAAGTGTAAATCTTAGAAATGCTACCTAGGCAATTATGGAAGTGAATAATGAGTGAAGTTGCATATTTGGGGAAATTAGCAAAGGTAAAGTGCTAAGCCTCAAAGAACTATTAGATAATCAGAGGGACATATTTTGCTCTACATTCATTCTCTGATACATTGAAATTCCAAGCACAAGCTACTTCAAGTTATATCCCTTATAATATCATAAAAAGTATCTGCCTAAGTCATCACAGTCATGAGACCTAAGTGATTAAAAAAAAAAAACTTGACTAGGGGATGTGCATAGAATGAGTGCTCTAGTTGAAGATCTGAGAGAAGGATTCTTACGATAAATAAGTAAATAGGGAAGAAAGACCAAATAAAAATCAACTTCATTCTTTAGCGATAAATTGCAGACCTGAATCAGTCTACTCTCATTTAAGGATCAGTAATACTCATGAAATATTCCTAAATTAAAAAGTAGAACACAACTTTCAACCAGAGAGAAACAGCTTACTTTTCACAAACCTATCATGTAGAAATTTGCGTATTTTTTTAATTGAATAATTTGTAGGCTAAGAAAAAATAAAGCATACATTGAAGCTCATATTGAAGTTTGAGCATATATTGGTCTAAAACTCTGGAATGTGTGCTACAGAGCACCAACTACCCAGATTACCTTTGAAGAGGGAGGCACTCATTTCCTTGGCTCCCAGGTATATTCCCTACTGAGAACTCACAGCTGAGTCTCTTTCCAAGACACCATCTAAAGAATCTGCTTCTCTGAAGGATGCATTACCTCCTATATCCAGTGACTGATCAATGTAAGAATACAAAAATTCGGCCAGTTGGCCTAAATTTCGACAACTTTAAAGAGCCCTGCTGACTTCAGAATTTCCTGTGGGATCAGAGGAGGTCTTTGTTTTGACTGCATTGCAGCAGAACTGCTCTGTTCCCCTATTCTGCTTCCCTCTCTTCAGTACAGTTGTTTCTTCCTAATGCACTCCCATTAATTTCCTGGACACAGATCTCCCTTTTACGGCCTGTTTCCCAGAGCACCAGACCTATCACAGTTAGTGCCAGAAGTGTTCGAGGAAGCACGTTGTAAAGTGTTATTTCTGTTTTTGTTTTTGTTTTTATGGTTTTTTTGTTGTTTTTTGTTTTGTTTTGTTTTGTTTTTGTGAGCTCTAATACCTTCTGGTGGCCTGCCACAGCAATAACGCAATTGTTAGAAGTTTTAATGGTGATAAGTAGAGATGATATACTAGTGAAAGTGAATGTGCATTGAAGGTGAAATGTATCAGGCTCCAGAAATATGAGAAAAAGCTATTACAGGAACTGTAGAATTAGTTGGTTGTTGCTAGGGGCAATAGATACTTTAATAAAAGAAAACAAAAGGCTGAGGGTGATTATCTAGCAATTAAATGCTAAGAGTGAAAGCCAGAAGGCCTCCCTGGAAACCTAAGAAGAGAATCTCATTTCCTCCAACTAGAGGGCAGAAAAGTAGCATTCCAAGACAAAGACATTATCATAAGGGCAGATCTCCAGAGTTGGTTGAATTATCAGACCTGCACGTCACATACACCAAGAAGAAAGTGGACCCTTAGACATGATATAGGTAAAACCTGAGAATCCATTGAACAACTTGCCTTTAATCTTCTGAGTTTGAGGGTGTAGCCCACTCCTTACTGCTCTACAATGTGCTAAAGAGAGAGAGTTGATAAATATGTGAGCAGTTTCTTAGGATACAGAATTTAACAATGTGTTAACGATGTGACTCCAGGGCAGGGTGAGAACTCACTGTTATTATGACTCTTGGGAATTTAGAGTAAAAATGGTGCACATTAAGTGAAGTAAAAATGCCAGCATTAGCTGCGGTGTGGCAGCTCACACCTGCAATTCCAGTGCTTTGGGAGGCTGAGAAGGGAGGATCACTTGAGACCAAGAATTCTAGACCTGCTTGGAAAACACCAAAAAAACAAATCAAAACAAAAACAAAAAAGCAGCCTGGCCTGGTGCAGTGCACCTAGAGTCCTAACTCCTAGCTACTTGGGAGGCTGAGGTGGCTATGATCTCACCACTGTACTCCAACCTGGTGACAGAGTAAGACCCTGTCTCTTAAATAAATAAGTAAATAAATGGATAGAAAGATAGAAAAATACATAAATAAATAAAATGCCAGCACCTCATTGCCAGACAGTAGAATAAGGGATTGAAAGACTCAGAGGAGTGGGTATAAAGTCAAAGAAACTTTGTATAGCCCATGTATAGCCCACCAGATACCATCCTTCTTAGAAGAGGTGCTAAACAACCAAGTAGATAAAATGACTCAACTAGTTTATACCAGCCAGATTCTGTCATCAGCCACCCTAATAAATTCATTCATGTGCTGGCCTAATAAACACATGAATGCATTATCCACGGAGGCAGGAATGGTGGCTATTCTTAGACCTGACAATATGACCTCCCACTCCATGGCTATGAATCTAGTTACTGCTGCTGGTGTTAATTTGCCAGGAGCAGACTAACACTAAGTCTTTGAAATGGTAACATCTCTCCAGAATGTCAACCAGGTACATTTGGGGATTTGATTACTTTGAATCTTTTCTTTTCTAGAAAAGGGAGTGATTCATCTTAAATGCAATATATCCATATTCTGGATGTAGGTCTACCTTTCCTGCTCATAGAGCTTCAGAAAATTCTTATCTGAGGGCTTACAAAGTGCTTGATCTACCAATAAGGGTCCACAACAACATCTCACCAACTCATGGTCTCTATTGTATGGCAAAGGACTTGCAGGAGTGGTCACATGACTGTCATATTCCATCTACTGGCCCTATCCAATACTATACTGCTCAGATGCTGCTTGCCTGATAGAACACTGGAACGGCCTGTAGAAGGTAGAGCTAAAGTGCAAACTTAGAGATGATACCTGAGAGGATGACATAGGACTGGGAATTAAGAGATGGAAATAAGAATGACACTAATTATCATAACTACAATTCAGTCACTTGAAGAAATTGTGCTTCTTATCCCACAAATCTAGGCCCTGCGGGCCTGCAAGTGTTTATTCTTATAGGAAAAAAAAAAAATATTCCACCAGGGAAATCTCATCTTCTACCATATAACTTTAGACTACTTATGTCAACAGACCAGCAGGAAAGAAAATGAATTGTCATTCTGCCAGCACAATTGACCCTGATCAGAAGGAGGTAGAAGTGTGATTACATACTGTGGGATACATAATTTGGAGCCAAGTAGATTCATTAAGTCATTTAGTACTGCCCAAAGTTTGATGATAAGTGGACAAGTAAAGCAATTAGAGACTAAGAAGTGCATGGTATCAGTTGCCTCAAACTCCTCAGGGATGTGGGGCTGGGTCAAGCCACCAGTTAAACCATCCAGACTAGCAGCAGTCCTAGTTGAAGATGAAGGGAATCTGGAATGAATTTTTAAATACCCGAGTGATGAATATTAGTTGAATTCTTTATTTCAGCTGCATTTGTAGAGGCCTTAGTTTCTTTCACTAAACACACGTAGTGGCTTTAAATGATAAAAATTTATTATCTGACAGTTCTGGTTGTCAGCAGTCTGAAATGGTGTTTACTAGGCTAAAATCAAGGTGTTGACAGGGCTGCATTCTCCTCTGGAAGTTCTAGGGAGAATCCATTTTCTTGAGTTTTCCAATGCCTGAAGGTCATATGCATTCTTTCTGACTCTCTTCAATCCTCATTCTCTTTCTCTGACCACAGCTGAAACTGGTTCTTCAGTTTTAAGGACCCACATGATTAGATTAGGGCCAGCAGAATATTCCAAGATAATTCCTTCATCTTGAGGTCCTTAACCTTAATCACAACTGCAAAGTCCCTTTTACCATGTAGGCATGCAAAGTAAAATATTTGTGGGATGGGGTGGGGGGGTACTGCCTACCACAGCAAGCATAATTCTTCTTAATGCATAGAAAGGGGTATGTAAGCAAGTAAGAGACCAATTTACATTTGAAATTTTATGCAGAGAAATTTTATCTAAGAAAAACTGAGCACAACATTTTTCTAAAGTTGATTCTGCAATATATATTCTTAGCTTATATTATTTACAGGTGAAATTTCCCAAAGTATCTAGTTCCTAAAGAAAATTCAAAGAGATTGAAGATTTGAATTGCTAATTTGTATTCATGAAAAGTAGAGATTTGTTCTGGACTAAATTACAACATACAGGCTGCTTGAGCAACACTCGATCAGTAACATACAAGAGGCAGTTACTTGTGATACATAGGAGAAGTATTTTTTTAAGATTTTTTAAAATGAATTTTTAAATAAAGTAAATTGAATGTATTTGGGGTCTATCAGTGTAGTTTATAAATAGAGATGACCATTGAGCAACACAAATTTGAGTAATATTCAGATTTTCTTTCTTCTCTGCCACCTCTGAGACAGCAAGACCAACCTCTCCTCTTCCTCCTCATCCTCAGCCTACTCAACAGAGAGGCCATAAAGATGAAGACCTTTATGATACCTATCTAACAAATCTGCACATGTTTGAACCTAAAAGTCAAAAAATAAATAAAATAATAAAATATCTTTATGATGATCCACTTTCACTTACTAAATAGTAAATATATTTTTCTTATGATATTCTTCATGGCATTTTCTTTTTTCTAGTAAGAATACAGTATTTAATAGAGATGGCATGCAAAATACGTGTTAATCTACTGGGTGTGTTGTCTGCAAGGCTTCTGGTCAATAGTAGCTTATTAGCAGCTAAGTTTTGAGGCAGTCAAAAGTTATACATGGATTCCTGACTATGCAAGCTGTTGACGCCCCAGTCTCTGCAATGTTCAAGGGCCAAATGTACTTGATTTAAAAAATGAGGAATTTACATACTCTTAAGCTGAAGGTATCACACTTTTAAGCACAAGTGCATTTAGAAAACTTTCCCCAAAACTATAAATGTGGATTTATTGAAGAGCACCTAATATGATTAATAATTTTCCTTGAATCAATTATGATTAAATTATTATAACAGCCTTATTCTAAATGTTTCTGATGCTGCTTTACAGGAAAAAAGTAATTAATTCACATGTATACTATTTATGCTGAGGCAAACTGTTCCTATGTACTTCGTTCACCACAGTTATCTGAGATATGATAGGTTATTCATCTTAGTGCATACAATTTGAAGAACTGTTCTAATGAACCTAAAACAGTGTATTGTCATGCCAATTTTTATTCCTAATACCCTAATAAAAACTACACACTTGCTTTGTTACTTCTTGCTCTCTGCAATTGTTTTGAGAATATACATGATGATGTGGGATTGTAATATGCTATTAAATAATGTGAAAGCAGCATCTGCTCATCATTTCTGAATATTATTGAATTTAGTAAGAGATAGAACTACTTTTTATAAAATATTGATAGTTTTGCAAGTGATTTTGGCCATAGAAATAAATCCAATTATGTGCAATCCAAAAACAGCAGTGAATTTTAAGGCTTGAAAAACACAGTCATTATCCAAGTTTCTTGTTCTGAAAATATCTTTGTTCAGCATGCCAAAGGAAAGAAATTATTTCGAATGGGAAAAAGATAAAGCTGCCTATAAAATAATTGAGAAGAAAACTAACTAAATGTCTGATTTAACAACAACAACAAAAAAAAAACTAATCACCAGGAGTGAAAGGGTCGCACGCAACTTTGGGGGAGATATACATTATGTGAAAACATTATTATTGCTTTAGGGTATTTGAATGAAGCAGAAGCTGAGGGTATGATAATCCAGACAGGTGGAGAAACAAGAAAAATAAAGGATCCAGTCAATATTATTTAAGTTATATGTATTTTCTGTCTAATTCACAAATAATTAGCTGGTATTAGAAACAAACACTGAGAATCAGAGCTAAAGAGCTATATCAACAAAAGCAAAAAGGCAATTCAAAAAAGGCTGTAGACTTTTGAATATATATTTATTGAACTTATATCCAGCAATTTGGAAATACTGGGTACAATGGCATGATGGTGTTGAGCAGACATTTACCATAATTAGGTGTTTTTTCTCAGAGCATTATTTCATAGTTTATAAAGAACAAAGATCATCTTTTCAATGTAAAGCACTGATTTTATACTGGTAAAGAAATACTTTTCCAAAGAAAAGAATACAATTTTATTAGATTCTATAGCATAATGTGTCAAAAGTCATGGGGCTCTTTAAGGAATTAACTAGTTTACAGTTTATGTAAATGTATTTTTTGCTGGCAGGTGTTTGATGAGCCGTATATTATGTTGACGGTCCCAATAAAATTGTAAAAGCAACTACAAAGGAAATATAATTATTTTATTGAGAGTAAGGTGAACTTAGCTGTTTCCCTTTGTGGTCGACCTGTCAAGAATATAGTTTGATACTGCAATTATTTGAAGTTCATTTAATTAATTAAATTAATTATTTTAAGTCTTAAATTTATTGTTATAGAATATAAGAACATTTTCTTCTTTTCAAAGTTTATAGTATTAGAATTTATTAATATTATATTATGTAAGACAGAAATTCATAGTTGGACTTGAACAATTTTTTGTAGTTTCTATTTGCAAATATGAGCATAGCCTTTAAATACATATGACTTTAAGATAATTAACATAATTTGTAAGATATAATGTTTCATCAAATTTATGATCCTTAAATATGTTACATTGGATTTACATTATAATTGCATTGATATGAATCAAATTTAACAATATTTTTCTGCAATATACATATAAAGATGGAAAGAAAAAGAAAGAAGAAAGGAGATCTTAAATAGTTGTGTAAGTCTATTTCAATGAGCATAGACCTGTATCAATAGACACATTAATCAAGACTGAAATAGTCAGCACAGATGACAAAAACTTCATTAAATTGATTTAAGGTTTTTCAAAATATTGGCCAAGAAGATAAATGCATTTATCACTTAAATTCCTAAGCAAGTGTTAAGTGATAGCATTCATCCTTGACTTTCTTAAAGAAGAAATAAAATATTAATTGAAAACTGATAAAGTGTTGAAAGATTGATAAAATATGTCTGCAGATTTGAATACAAAAATTACCCAAATAAGGATTTGTTCCACTGTTAAAAAGTCAATGTCCTATAAATAATGTAAGCTTCACAATTTAAACAATTGGCCACCAAGGTGTTGCCTAATGCTTCGTAGTATGGAACCATAAGATAAATTAATTCTTGATTGCCACTGCAGTCAAGATGTAGTAACAAAAGTGGCAGTAACCAGTCCATCCGACTGATCAGAAGAATAACTAATATTCCTGAAAACATGAACAGTTTGTTTGTTATCTTAATGAGAATGAAATAGGTGAAAGAGAATTACTGATATTCCAACTGGGCAATATTGTTCTCTGGAAGGGGTTTTGATTATATATAAATAAAGAAAACACTCTAAAATACAGTCGTGAACATATCATTCAAATCTCCTAATTATCAACATTTTGACAATCTTATGTCATCAGTCCACTGAATAAAAATGCGTTTTATGTTGCTTATTTCCTTTTTTTTTGTCTTGCTTATAGTTTTTTGAAGCAAGACAAAACATCTCATTGGTTTAACATTTGAAAATTAACCAATTAAATAAAGTCCTTTGAAAACAATGAAACAAAGAACAAATCTTATGATCATAAGATCATCTCAATGAATGCAGAAAAAGAAGTATTTGCAAAATTGAATGCCTGCAGAATTAATTAATAAGCCTTTCACCATTTCCCCCTTAAAATTCATAACCGTGAAAGAATTTCTGCACTTGCCAATTTAACATTGCAGGTACTAGTCAGTGAAGTAGATTAAAATTTCATAAAGATGATAAAAGAAAAAGACAGAGATTAAGAAACAAACTAAAACACTGTCGTTGTTTATAGATTACATTGCTATGTGCATAGAAAACCAGACTATGGAATAGAAAAGAACAAATAGGCCTAAATGATAAATTTAGCAAGGTCAAAGTATAAAAGGCCGATACATGCAAGGTAATTGTGTTTCTGTATACTGGCAGTGAAATAACTATCATGAAATACTATATACAGTCACATAGAAACATGAAAGACATAAAAATAATTTAATAATAATGTAAAGGTTCTCTGCAATGAAAAATACAAATATTACCAAAAGATATTTAAAGCACCCAAAGTAATGAAGAAATATACTATGCTTATTAATTTAAAAACTCATTTCTTTCCAAATGATTAAAAATAATCCCAACAGACTTTCTGTGAAAATTAACCCAAACAACTTTTTTTTTTGAAACAGAGTCTCGCTCTGTTGCCCAGGCTGGAGTGCAGTGGCACAATCTTGGCTCACTGCAACCTCTGCCTCCTGGGTTCAAGCGATTTTCATGCATCAGCCTCTTGGGTAGCTGTGATTATAGGCATGTGCCACCACGCCTGGCTACTGGTTGCATTTTTATTAGATATGAGTTTTTAGCATGTTGGCCAGGCTGGTCTCAAACTCCTGACCTCATGTGATATGCCCACCTTGGCCACCCAAAGTGCTAGCATTACAGGTGTGGGCCACCACGCCAGGCCAACTCAAACAATTTTGATAAGAAAATTAACTTAAAGGACTCACGACACCTAATTTTGACACCACCTTAAATCTAAACATACCAGTGCACATACAAATCAAAGTGGTGTTGGATATAACAAATATGTATATTGATGGAATAGAATAGAATGTTTCATCAAAGCAGCAGGAGGCTATTATCCTGAGGGTTCCTCCTTTTTTTGAGCTCCTTTGTAACAACTTGCAACTTACCTTAGTAAGTGAATAAACTAAAAGATAACGAGGAGTATAACAAAAAGCTGAATTTCAGTCAATTGCAAGCAGTTGGGCTTTAGTCAATCATACGCAGTCAACAACTTACACCATGCCCAAATAAGGCAGATGCCTAGCTGTGGTCAATTAGGTGATTTCTCTACTTTGCTGCTCTGTTCACCTATGAGAGCTCACTGCTCACTCTGTTGGGCAAAGGTCTTTGAACCTCCTCTGGTTCTAAGTGTTGCTCAATTCATGAATTGCTCTTGTTTCAAATAAAGTCTGTCAATTTAATTCATTTCAAGTTTTTCTTTTAACAAGATAATCCAGAAAAAAAGTCACACATAATTGGTCAATTAATTTTCAATAAAAATGACAAGAAAATTCAATGAAGAAAATATTTTTGACAACTATTGCTGTAACAACTAGATAACAATGAGTATATATTACCTGAAAATCCTACTTTATACCAAATACAAAAAATATTTATTTCTGATGGGTCATAAACCTAAACATAAATAGTAAGACTACAACATTTTCAGAATAATACAAAAGAATATATTTATAACCATGGAAACTACACATTTATCAGACAGTGCACAAAATAAGTTTACTTCTAAACAAATATTATTGATAAAACAGATTACATTTAAATTAAAAACTGCTCCTCAAGACACCACTGTGAAAATGAAAAAGCAAGCCACAAACTGGGAAAATATAATTGCAATATACAAATATGTCAAATGACATAAAACAGAATATATAAAGAACTCCTCGAAAATACAACAAAATTAAAAATGGAAAACAATCTTAAGTACTTCAGAAATAAAGTTATAAATGGATTTTAAGAACATAAAAATATGCTCAGTCTCATTGGCCCTTCTTAGTTATTAACTTACTGTTTCTTAGACCTTATAGCACTGGAGCAATTGCTAGGCATATGGTGCATACCACATTTCCGCTTTTTGAGCTGGTTCTAGATTAACCTCTTCCCATAGGTCATGATAGATTCCAAGGCTGGAGAAAAAAAAAAGGGAACAATTTTTTTTTCTTCTGTTTTCTGCATGCCCACTGTGAGCTTCCTATCTGCTTGCAGTTTCTGTCTATTACCTTAGCAACATTTTCTCAAATTGCTCAACATTTTCTCAACATTTTCTCAAATTCTTCCCATTGTGGCATCTGAATCCAGTGCGCTATTTTACCATACTCTTATTAAACAAATTTGTTCATGCTTCATATTGGAGTCACCAGTCCCAGCAGGCTATGCCCCCGCTTCAGATGTCCAGATCCACAGCGACACTCTCTGTGGCTCAGAGGCATCAGCAACACATCTCTCAAAGAGTGTTCCATTTTATCTTCACAGGGCTCAGGTCCCAGATTTTAATTTTTAGTAATTCTAATTTATGTTTTCTATTCCTCTAGCCCTAGGGATGTCAGATATTTCCTGCAGTTGCTCTCACTATGTTGTATCACAGTCACATACATATTCTACTTATTCATTAGTATATTTTCAGTTATCTAGTCAAAAATGCTATATGGAGTTTAAAATGTATTTATTGCATTGTCTCTGGCCAAATACTTTTTGTTTTTTCCTTCCCCTGTTAGGCCCTAACCTATGTCATTAAGAAAGTGCAAATTTTAGAAACAATGAAATACAATTTTATGCCCATTAGAATGGCTGAAATTAAAATACTGGCAACACCAAATAATTGCCAGAAAGTGGAGCAACTGGGCTGGGCGAGATGTCTCACACCTGTAATCCTAGCATATTGGGAGGCTGAGGTGGGAAGATAGCTTGAAGCCAGAAGTTCAAGGCCAGCCTAGGTAACAAAGCAAGACTCTGTCTCTACAAAATAATAATAATAATAATAATAATAATAATATTAATAAGAAAAATTTAGCCAGGTATGGTGGCACATGCCTGTGGTCTCAGCTATTAGGAAGTTTGATGTGGAAACTACTAGGAAGTTTAAGCTTGAGCCCAGGAGTTCCATGCTATAGGGAGCCATGATTGTGCCAGTGCACTCCAGACTGGGTGACAGAGCAATACCCGGTCTGAAAACAACAAACAAACAAAACCCAAAAACCAAAGCCAGAGGGTGGGGCAGCAGAGAACTGGAACTCTTATACATTGTTGGTGGGAGTGTAAAATGGGGCTATCACTTTGAAAAACTATTTTGCACTTTCTTATCAAAACAAATGTACACCTACCCTATGGATCGGTAATTCCACTTCTGGTATTTAATTATCATAAATTTTAAAATAAATATATAAAAACACTTGCACAAATGTTTATAGCAGCTTTTCCAAGAGAGCACAAAATTGAAAAAATTTAAATGTCCAACCATGAGAGAATGAACTGTAATAAATTCATTAATAAATGAACTGCAATATATTCATCCTGTGAGAAACAATTCACCATTAAAATTAAGTGAGCTACAGATATACCTATCAACATGGAGAAATCTCAAAAATATTATGTTGAGTGAAAGAAACTATACAAAAAAATTTGTATGATTTTGTTTATATGACTTTCAAGTAGACTAATAAAAAGTTAGTTATAGCTCTTGGACATTGAATAGAACAGGCATGAGATAACATTCTGAAATTATGGTAATGTTATTTGTTTGTTTTTCTTAATTGGGGTATTGGATACACAATTGTATGCTATACACTAAATTGTATTCAATCTTTGTATATTTTACTGTTAAGTAATTTTTTTCTCAATTTTAAAAATGAGAATTATATCTATATACTCACATGGAGAGAAATATGAGATATATTTTTAATTGAAAAATGTGTTTTTTATTGAAAAAATGTGGTTTTAATTGAAAAAATGTGAAAATGTCTTTAATTGCAAAGTGTGGTCCGTGGACATCTGGGTATAAGTTTGACCTTTTCAGAGTGAACAAAGCCTTTCCTTTTTCAAATAGATATATATTCAAAATGATGCCATTCTTCTGTTTTTTTGGAAAATATCATATTGTACATAAAATATATGCTTTATATTAACATGAAATATGTTATTATGGGCTATTTAATTGACTAATAAATATTAAAAAAATTATGTTTTCATTTCTAATAAGGCAGGGATATAATCCTCATAAGCAAAAGCTCTTTGAAGTCCTTGATAATCATTTAGTGTTTAAAGAGTTCCCAGGACAAAAAGTTTGAGAACAGCTGGTGCAAGAAAACAGGAGACATATAAACAAATATGTACACAAACATCGTTTTTAATACCTGTATTTATTCATATTATCCTGAATGTAGACAAAATATTTTTGAGCCAAGGACACATTTATTATTACTAGCATACAAAAACAATTGTGGCAATTCCCTTGTGTCCCAATTTCCCTTTTGCAAGACAATTTGCTGAGAGTCATGCTTTGCTGGAAATACTTCTGGGGTCTCTGCTATAATTCAGAAACTTGACATTGTGAATCTGGATGACTCCTTAAGATAGCTTATTCGGAAAACTTCCCATCAGAGGGAGAGTGGAAAACCATACTTTGCTAATATAAACAAATCTCCTTAGGAGGAGAAGAAGAAATCCTGGGGTTTTACACTTTATAGTGTAAATAAATGTCCCCAAGGGAAGATATGAGAAGTATCTCCAGGTGGACAATCCTTGACATGTCTTTCACATCATTCAACTTAAAACATAATCACATACTCTTTGAAGATAAATCTTTTACTATTTAATCTGTAACTTCCAAGCCTTTTCTTTTTACTCAGGTGTATTAGTTCCTTCTTACACTGCTATAAAGAAATACCTGTAACTAGTCTCTGTTTGAGAATTGGTTTATCAAGAGATCCTAACTGAGACTAAAGTTCTGACCATGGGTCTGCTCCCAACCCTGCTGTGTTTCTCAGCAGGTTGTGAAGAAATAAGACATTATGGGAGCAGATAATGCACACTTGTCACCATACGACGCCTTTTCTTCTTGCTAACCCTCCCTCAATTTACACCTGTGGCATCAGGTGGATTGTTTTATAACCTCTAGAATGAGTAGGAAAGAAACATTGCTGATACCATCAGAAGATATACTAACAACAACAACAACAAAAATAAAACCAATTTGAAGATTAATAGAAGACAGAAAAATATCCCAGGAACCATAAGTTTAGGTAATCACTTCATTTATATTTTGATTATAATAAAGTCTGTTTGAAATAAATATCAAAATAGATTCATGAGTAGTGATTCAAATCCTGGACTATTTGAAGGGGTAGTAAGGGCTTTACAACAAAAAATAATAGAGGAGTGGTGATCTATAATAGAGGAGGGGAAGCAAGTGCATCTTACATGGTGGGAGCAGGAGGAAGAGAGTGAAGGGCGTGATGCTACACATTTTTAAACCAACAGGTCTTGTGTGAACCCACTCACGAGACAGCAGTAGGATGATGGTGCTAAACCATCAGAAACCAACCCCATGATCCAATCACCCCACCAGGCCCCACTTCCAACACTGGGGATTACAATTCAACATAAGATTTGGGTGGGGACACAGAGCCAAACCATATCACCAGGTTTCAGCTTTGTCCAGCAAGTCCTAAACATAAAACATAAAAATATTTTCTCTAAACTAGTGTGTGAAAATTTTGCTCATATTTTTATTAAAAATACAGAAGAATAAATAACATCAATTATTAATAAAATAATACATTTTGTGAAATGAAGGAACAGAATAACAGAAAGAAGTAGAATGAAAGCTGGAATTCACTGAATGCAATTGACCACATAGTTATGATCTTGGACCCGTTTGTTTTAAAAACTATATTTTTATCTGGACTCTTTTGGTGTGCATTAATTTAGGAACTGAATAGTCATACTCTTTGAGGCCATTGTGAGTGATCCATTCATGTATATCTTTCCCATTCCTCCAAGTCACCATTCCTCTATTATTTTTTGTGGTAAAGCCCTGACTACTCCTTCAAATAGCGCATGCTTTTAGTCACTATTTAATCTATGTTGATATTTATTTCAAACAGAATTTTATTACAATCAAAATTTAAATAAGTGATTACCTAAAATTATGGTCCCTGGAATATTTTTCTGTCTTCTATTGATCTTCAAATTGGCTTTATTTTCGTTGTTGTTGTTAGTATATCTTCTGATGTTATCAGCAATGTTTCTTTCCTTCTCATTCTAGGGGTTATAAGACAATCCCCCTGAGGCTGAGGTCATAGGTGTAAATTGAGGGAGGGTCAGCAAAAAGAAAAGATGTGGCATGGTGACAGTGTGCTTTGTTTGCTCCCATAATTTCTTATTTCTTCATAACCTGCTGAGAAACACAGCAGGGTCGGTAGCTGACCCATGGTAAGAACTTTAGTCTTGGTTATGATCTCTTGATAAACCAATTCTCAAAAAGAGACTAGTTTCTTTCCAAGGAGGATGTTTCTGCTTCTAAATCTTAGGCAAAAATAAGATTCTCCTATTCAGACTGCTGCAAATTTCTTTCCACCACTTGGATGTCAGTGTGTACTACTTACCTGGATCCCCACTGTGTCTGCTGGTAGTGAGTGCCTGAAAAGCTGCAAAATCCCCTTGCCTCTGTTCTCCACTCAAAAATGCAGGCTTTCTTTCAATTACTGAATAAAATGACCAGAGCAGTAACTCAAATACCACATTTTCTTCAAAATATAAATAGTTTGAACAGGCATTGGCTCATAGAATGGGTCTTTCAGTGAATCACCATAAAGTTTCTGGAGTTTACATAATCAAATTACATAACTCAGTTATATAATTACTGAGTTACATTACTCAGCAATTTTTGTAGGTTTAGTCTTCCATGTTTCATGCATCTCTATTTTAATAGCTCAGCAAATCAAATGTTACTGTCTATTTTTTATATTTTTTAATAAGAAAATAGCAAAGTGCTCAACAATTTTGGAAATGGGACCCCTAAATCACTAAGCATCTCTGAAATACATCTAAGTTAAAGCCTAGTGAATATTACTGTTTTTTCTGACTACTTATTGGGGAAATTCTCTCATTGTATCGGTATTAGTTAAATGTCACTTTGTGGCTTTTACAACTCCAGATTCCCTATATCCTTGTTGAAATCAGGTAGCTTATTTAAATACAATATATCCTACAAGTATTTCTGGTTATGGCTCTTTTTATGCCATTAACATAAACTAATCCAGCAGGTGTCTCTTCAAAATAAAATAATATAATAGAAAGAAAAGAATGCTGTGGCAAAATAAAAGAAAATCATTGAAAGATTAAATGCCCTTATTAGGAAAAGGTGATATTACCCAGTACTCATGTTTGTGGGCTGACCAGCATAAGAACAGTGTATCTAAACCACTGCATCAGAGAGGAATGCAGAGTACATGCATACAGATGTAGGTAGATTGCTAAATTGTATAATACATGTCTGTTTACCTTTATTTTCTGGGTGAATTAACAAATGTAGCATATATCTGAGGATACTGGTAGGCAGATAAAACATATATACATAATCATATGATCTTAAACAGATTTTTGCAAGATAAAAATAATGAGACAAATAGCCAAGAGATATGGTTTTTTATTTTTTAGAAATTAGAAAAACAAACAAAGAAAAACCAAGAGCATTAAATGTTTTATTATCACAAATGGTATTGTGTAACAAACCCAGGGCATGTATTTATTTTGAGCATATAAAAAAAATTCAAAAGTATATTATGCACTTTAGTCACAAAGGAATAAACATCACACAGCATGTGTTCTTTGCTCTCCAATAAAATAAAATTTGAAATACGATAGAAAAATTACCCCAAGCATTTGAAAAATAAAAATGAAAAGTACTACTACATAATTCATAGATTAAAAAGAATTATAGAGGAAATTTATAAATATGTCCACTTGCCATGAGAGGGATAAAAAATTTTAAAAAAGAAAGAAATAATATCTGTTTAATAATACACAATGTAGTAATATGTCAACATGTATTGGTTGCATCTGAGAGAGTACTTAAAAGAAAATATTTTACCTAAATACAATTGTTAGAAAATAAAAAAAACACTAAAAATAAATTAGCTAGTCATTTAATGGAAGAAACAAAACCAAAGACAATAAGCAACCATGCAACAAAAAGCAAATAGAATAAACTACAATCAGAAAACAATGAAGTAAAGAAAGAAAACAAATACTGATACAATTAGTTGTTAAAAAACACTTTAACTTCTGGGAAAAATGTGAAAAGGAAATCATAAAAAAAAATCAACAGGGCAAAAATGTAATGAAGAAAATATAGAAAAAAGAAAACATCATTAAATTATTAAACTGATAAAAAATACTATCCTAATATATTTAGTAACCTAAATAATCCTGAAAAATGGGAAAAATAATATTCTGATATCAGTCCAATGTGAATTAAAAATAATAGATAGAAAAAGAATCATTAAAATATTTGAAATTACATTTAAAAAAATTACCTACAGAAAGACAGTTTTATAGTCAAGTTCTACTAAACATTTAGGATAGATTAACTCTATTTTACATTTCCTGGAAATAAAAACAGAAAGAAAACTGCTGAACAACATATATGAAGTTAGTATAATTTTGATCACAATACTTGAAAAACAAAGTACAAGAAAATACAATTATGGTTAATTTTATTTGTAGAAATAAATGTAAGAATTTTAAATAAAATATTTTAAGTGCATTTACCTGCATATAAAAATAACAATATATCATATGAAATAGTGTTTGTCACACACATACAAAAATATTATAGTATGAGAAACTCTCTCATTTCAATTCACAGCAATGTTAGTCCTAATGAAACATGATGTCTGAGTATCTGTAAACTCTAATTACAGCACTTCTTTAAAGCAAAAGCTCTAAATAAAGCAATAGAGGAAACTATAGAAGAACAGTTTTATGAACACAAGAGAGGCAAAGATTTACTAAACAGGACATAAAAATTGTAATCATAATAGGAAAAAATATATTGGCTTGTTTTAAGGGTAAGAACTAATCATGACAAGACTTTAATAAAAGTAAAAATGCAAGCCACATGGCAATAGAAAATTGTAGACATGTACATAAAAAATGATTATATATAAAAATAACTACAAATCAAAGTCTAAAACAGAAGCAGTCAAGAAAACAGAAGGTGGTCCAAAAACCTAAATAGGCATTTTTTTAAAAAAAGAATATCTATATGTCAGAAAAATGAATTTAGATGTTTAGAAAATGCAACTTAAAACCACAATCTGAAATTTCTGCACTATTAGCAGAAGAGTTAAAATTAAAAAGGAACAAAACTGCTGGAATCATGAAATAACCAATATGATAGATACAACATTAACATTAAAAAATCAGCATCAATTAATAGCAATAAAAATATTAGAAAATATAATATTCTTAATAGCAATAGACGTATATAGGAATTATGTGACAAGTAATACATAAAACTATTATTTAAAAATGTAGGCTCTACTACTGAAAAGAAGAGCTGAATAGAGAAATATTTCTTTAGTATTAATGTATCCTAATAAAAAAATTCAGCAATGGTTGACATAGTAATCCTGAAATACAGGTGAATATATGTATTCTGAATGATGCAGAACAGGTGAGCTCCCAAATTGGGGCTTAGCCGGGGGTGGTTTGTGGCTTCACCCAAGAAAGAATTCAAGGGTGGTGTTAATCCGCAACTTTTATTGAAGCAGCAGCATACAGCAGCAGCAGAGCTACTGCTCCTCATGGAAAAGGGATACCCCAGAGGCAGTGTGTCCAACATGGCAGCTCAGAGGAAGTTCTGCAGTCATACCCCCTTTTAATCAAATGCAAATTAAGGGGTGCATTATGCAGAAATTTCTAGAAAAAATGGTGGAAACTTTTGAGTCGTTGGGTTGTGGCCGTGAAAAAAAGCAGTAACTTCTGAGTGTTGCCATGGCAATGGTAAACTGACATGGCACATTTGTGGGCATGTCTTAAGGAAAGCTTCTTCTTCTACAACTTCCCTGTTTTAATTAGTCCTTAATTTGGTCTGGTGTCAGCGACCTTCCTCTGTAGTCAAGTCCCACCACCTACCTCATGAATATTTAAGGTAGTTTTGCAATAGAGTAACCAAGAGTAAAACATATTATCATGGCATATTAATTTAATTAACAGATTATTGGCATACCTGGGACTTGTTATGATAGTTATATACATATAGTAGTTATACACCCAATTCTCAATATGTAGTTCATAGACCAACAGCATCAACATTTCCTGGGAACTTATATATGCAAAGACCCAGAAATGGTAAATCGGAAACTAATGTTGCACTCCAACAATCTATGTTTAATAAGCTGTGGTGTCTTTTTAATATGTAAACTTGAATAGGTTGAACTAATTTCCCAGAATCTCTTTCCTGTAAATTTATAATTAGGGAGGACTATAACACAGACTCTTGTATGAGATTTCCAGGGTGGGATTGAAACAGTACCCATTTTGCAGATCACACATCTCGACACCGACCTACTGGCTCACCTCGTGGGGACAGTCCCTTTTCATGATCTCCAGTTTGTGTTTGAGGTATCTAGCTTGTTCTTGCTCTCTCCAGCTTTACATAAAACTCATAAAACTTCCTTTCAGATTGTCTGCCCTGCGAACTTCAAGTTTCAGCCGCAGACACAGAGAAAACAGTCTCGCAGAGTGCTTAGCCAACTTCCACAATTATGTAAGGTCAAGTTCCTGCAATAAATCCCTGCTTCTCTAATTGAACCCTGAACAATACACAAGTATTCCTGGTGATTCTGATCCATGCTAAAGTTTGAGAACCATTGCTATAGAGACATTGCAAAGCATTAGAGATACTATTTAGTTTAAAAAAAAGTGCTTAAGAGAACTGACTCAAATTTAGTGTAAAAAATAGAGTACAACTTTATACAACAAGAGACAAACTGAAGGTAGATGAAGAACTTAAATATGAAAAGTAAAATATAGTACCAATATGAATAATATAAGTGAATTTCTTCATAACTTTTGACTGATGAAAAAAATTTTAAAAGAAGATTCCAAAAGCAGCTGGGCACAGTGGCTCACACCTGTAATCCCAGCACTTTGGAAGGCCGAGGAGGGTGGATCACCTGAAGTCAGGAGTTCGAGGCCAGCCTGGCCAGCATGGTGAAACCCTGTCTCTATTAAAAATACAAAAAATTAGATGAGCATGGTATGGGCGCCTGTAATCCCAGCAACTTGGGAGGCTGAGAAAGGAGAATTGCTTGAACCTGGGAGGCAGATGTTGCAGTGAGCCTAGATCACACCATTGCACTCCAGCCTGGGTGACAAGAGCAAAACGCTGTCTAAAAAAAAAAAAAAAAAAAAAAAAAAAAAAAAAAAAATTCCAAAAGAACACATAATTAAGAAGTAAATGATGGGCTTGAATTCATAAAGCTTAAAACATTCTGTTTAATGAAGGGCACAATAGACACATTTTGCAAACAGATGGCAAACTATTTTTTAATATTCTTAATTCATAAATAATATTTTAAAATGTATATAGGAAATTCTTATAAATCTATATGATAAAGGCAGAAAATCCCAATGGGCAACATCTGTGAAGCACAATCTATAGAGGTGAAAATAAATGATTAATAATTAATGTGATATATGCATAACCTCAGAAATTAGAAAATACAAACGAAGCCAATAATGAAATTATACTGCTTTTTACTTTCTGTTATAATAAATTGCCACAAACTTCATTGTTAAAAAAAAATCTCACAATTCTGTAAGTCAGAATTTTTGGGTTAGCTCAACTGGCTTCTCTGTTCTGGGTTTCACATGGTGGAAATGTGTTGGCAGGCTGGGGTCTTAATGTGAGGCTCTGGGAAGCAACTACCTCCAAGCTCATTCAGATTATTGGGTGAAGTCAGTTACTTATGACTGTAGAATTGAGATTCTACTTTCCTTTCTAACTGTGGAACGGGGCAACATTTAGTTTCAAGAAGCCACATACCTTTCTTGACTTCTGATCTCCTTACTCCATATTCAAAGCCAGCAATGGCAGGTCAAGTCTCTCCCATGCTTTGAATTTTTCTCACCTTCCTTCTTCATCTTTCTCCTCTGCCTCTCTACCTCTCAGACTCAAACTTATGCCTTCCTATTCTGATATTGAGAGCTCATGTGATTTTATTGACTCCACCAAGATAGTCCAGGATAATGTCTCTATTTTAAGGACAGCTATTAATTTATATATTTATTGATTTATTATTTTTATTTTATTTGACTTGATTTTAAGAAAAAGTCTCACTGTGTTACCTGGGCTGGTGCAGTGACATGGTCACTGCTCACTGCAGCCTCAACCTACTAGGCTCAGGTGATTTTCCCATGTCAGTCCTTGGAGTAGCTGGTGGCTTTGTGCAGCACCATGCCCAGCACCTGTAGTACCACACCACACCCAGCTAACTTTTAAATTTTTTGTTGACACAAAGTTTTGCCATGTTGCCCAAGCTGGTCTCAAACTCCTGAGCTCAAGTGATCCATCTGCCTTGGCTTTCCAAAATTCTAGGATTACGCTAGCATGGTTACACTAGGCATAAGCCACTGTGCCTGGTCAAGGTCAGCTATTTAGCAACCCCAATTTTATCCGCAAACTTGGTTCACAGCTATATCTAGATTGGTGTTTGATTGAATAACATAGGGCACTTGTAAGTGGAGTCATCTTTATAATTCTGGCAACTATAACACTTTACAACCAAAATATTAGCAAAATTAAGAAGGACTGACAATAATGTGTTATAACACGGTGCATCAAAATGTTTCTGTTAGGAGTACAAATTATTGCATCTATTTTAAAGAACATTTCAATATCATGTGTTTTTCATGGATACACACTTATATAACATGAAAGTTTGCATTAAAAACAAATTTTAAAGAAAGACATTACTCATATAATAATGTGTATTTATAGTGGTTAAGAAAGAAATAAGATAAAATAAAATGTAATATGAGGAAGAACTGTTGTATGCAGATAAAAGTGTACCTAAAAGTGAGAAGAATATCAAAACAATCACGTGAAGCATAAGGAAATAAATACACCCATTAAGAAACAAAAACAAACCTTCCCAGGAATCCCAAAGAAGTAGGAGAAAAATGTGGTGAAATAATAACTTTTTTTTTTTTTTACTTTCACCAATTGTCCTACCTTTCTCTCTTCCTCTTAATTCAAATATATATCTAACCCTGCATTCATAGCCCCAGGGAGGTATGAAGCAGATTAAAATAAACAGTATATAGCGTGTCATTTTGCCTTTTGTCCTTCAAAAGTCAAAGTACTTTATTTTTATTTTTACTTTTTTTCTGAAGTGGGGTGGAATGCAGAGTAAGGGATGGGTTACAAAGGAGGTGAAAGTAGGAATCTGTGGGCATAGAAAATAATTTCTAAAGAAGGCATAAAGGGAGAAATATTTGACCTTCATATTCAAGGTCTTTTCATGAGTTGCAAAAGAAAGAAAGGGACCAGAGAGTAGAAATAATTGGGCAGGGATTTCCAAATTGCCTTTTATGGTATCCAAGTAGAGGTAATAAGATCCCAGGTACATACTGCAACCCACCACGTGGTAACACACATAGCACTACAACTGAGATAGGAAAATAAGAGAGACACCAGACTTGGGAAAGTCCTTTAGACAAGAACTAGGGCCATCACAAAGGCAACTCATAAGAATTGCTATCAAGTAATAATTGGAGCACCTTTTCCCCCATGTCTCAAATATCTTGTCACTGCATAAGGTCACAAAAACTATGTCACAATTCAAGAGAGTTGGGAACTTTGTAAGTAGTAACAGTGGTTATTACTGTTTTCCCACTGGTATGGGGAAATGAGGTCTAGAAATACATTAAGTAAAGTTGTCATTAATAGGAAGTAAATAAAGTCATATTATTGCACATAAAAATTTTTAAATTGGTATTCATATTCACTGCAAGTGTTTCAAGAGTGATAGTGTGACCAAAATTACCAAAGTCAATAACCATTGAATTCTACAATAAAGTCATTGGTGATTTTAATGAAAGCTAAAATAAATTGTAAACTAGGAAGGAGGTAAAATGGAGGTTTGTAATAACCATCACTTTAATAAAGGTTATGTCAGAAATATGATGGAAATATGGGTGTAGAACAAGAGAGGATTGAAGAACTACCAGATCTTACCTACAACTAATGTATGTCAATGTGAAATCCTAAATTTCTCTCAAATCTATTATATACATTTCTCCATTACTCCCACATAAACACTAGCCTAGTCTAAGCTACGAGCTTCTGTCTCCTAGAGTACAAACAATATCTCCCTTAGTCTAAAAAAAAAAAAAAAAACTAAGAAACTCTGAGTGCAATCCATAGAGTTGGATGAGAGTAACAGTGTGGAGGAGTGAGATGTGGGATGGAAGAAAGACAGAAAGAGTTTTACTCTCCTAAGATATTATTATCTCCATTCTTTACTAACATAAATGTATTGTGTCTTATTACACTTACTACACAAATTTGAAGAATATATAATATGTTGTTCTCAAAAAATTCTAGTTTTGCCGAGTATCAATAAATGCACAATGCTGGGTGGATTAGCTATGGAAAAGAAGAAAAGAAAATTCAAAGTAAATGGGAAACGTAAGGGGAAGCAAAAAGCCCAGAAACGGAGTGAAACATTCTGAAAGCAATAAAAGATTAGAAGTGAACAGAGCAAATATGACAGAATATTATAGGATGAAGCTGGAAATGAGGTTTCATCATAAATTTTGGAGAAACACGTAAGGCATGTTGAGAAATCTGAACCTAATGTAGTTAGAAATAAGGCAGTCTCAAAGGTTATGAAAGGGGTCATAAAAGAATTACACATTGGCAAAAGTATCCTTGCATCACCCTGCATAATTATACTGTGGGATGATCACTGAGAAGTTACGGCCAAAACCCAGATATAACTTAATTAGGTATACATTGGGGTGGAAGAATTTAAAGTAGGAGTTGGATTCAAAAATAAAATGTTGAAAAAGAAAAAGTAATAAAATTAAAAGGAAAAAATTCAAATAGGTAAAAAAATACATAGGATACAAAATTTGTGCACTTTATGATGACAAATCTGTACGTGATCCAGAAGTATAGTGGATACAAGTAAGTAGATTAGATGGTTTATATAAACATCAATTATCTTTATTAATGATGTCATTTATGTCTTACATATTAGGTTTTTGTTTATTTTATCATTGTAGTAGTCATGGCTTGAGAAAGATAAAACTGTCTCTATAATACATCCTATATATTACTCCTAGTATCTCATACAATTTGTATTTTATGATTGTTGTTGCCAGGATAACTTGTGTATAAATATTCACAACTCTTATAACTTCATTTTATGAATTAAACCCTTCAGCATTTTGAGGTGTCCATCTTTATTTATTCAATGCCTTGGTATTGATTTCTACTTTGGTAGAATATTATTGTATACATTTTGCTTTTTTCTTTAAAATCACACTTTTAACATTTCTTTGAATTAGATTTACTCTTAAATGCAGCTACAGTTGGATTTTGTTTGTGATTTAACATTAAAATCGTTTTTAATAGGATTTGAAATCCCCCTGCGTGTCATATATTTGCTTTAAGGTCCGTCATTTTAAAAAATCTTTTTTTATAGTTTTTTAAAAGTCTGGTTTCCTTGCTGTTTGTTGAGATATTTGGAAGGGTACCCATTTTGTTGCAATGATTACTCTAATAACTGTAAGAGTTCTTAGTTTCATATAGTTTTAAAATTTTCTCTCTAAATCAGTGGCAAAATTAGCACATTTCCTTTTCTCTAATTCCCTTCTCTTTTCTCTAACATACCATATTAGCCAATAATATTATATTTTTGTGATAAATGTTGGTCTGCTGAAAAATGCTAATCATTCTACTACTTCTTTTGCTCCAACTTAATGTTATGCTTTGGCACTCAACTATTACAATGCAATCAAGAAATTTACTCAGATTTATTTCCCGCCACCTGTCACTTTACCTCCAATTTTGTGTCAGTTGAACTAGTAGCATGCTTACATCCTATTGTCCACTACTAATTCCCTTATAATTAAAGATTTCATTCTATTAATTGTTAAATAAAAATTATAAGAGGTAATTGTTTTGGACTGAGTTTCTACACTAGGCCTCAGTAAACTAAACTAAAAATAAAAATGGAGTCACTTATGCTAAAGTTCCACGTCACCAAACTCAAGGTACCTTGTTGTCTGATCTTGGAGAAATCAGAAGAAAGAGATAATAGTCAATTTCCCATCAAGTCAGTTTAATATCTTCAAAGGGCATGACAATGACATTTCCTCTGCCTTAATCCTTACACAGAAGAAATAGCCTGAGGTAATCTGATGTTAATCTATCAGTTATTTTTCTATTATTCTGTCTCCCTCTCCCTGCCTTACAAGAAAAATAACTTTGAAATGACTAATATATTTTGTGTTCTCTGTCTCAGCCTTCTTCAGCTCTTCTCTCTCTACGATGTCCACCCCCTCCTCTCAGCTCATCTGAATACTTTCTGTTTCATAGAATGAATTGTTGCCTGATTTTAGAATTGCAATAAAGTCAATCAAAATCTTTAAACTAATTTTTTTGTAATTTTGTCCTTTAATACATTCTACAATTTATTATTCAATGTTCATGCCATTCATCTTGCTTTGATTTCCTTAGGAAAATTTTTATCACCTGACATTCATTCTTGAATGTTCTCAATTTTTCCCTGGTTTTTGGTGTGCCCTTTTAGCATAAATGTTTTGGTGTATCAAACAAAAGTGTGGAATCTGAAGATTGTTTGTTTTCTAGAATTAAAAATAAGTTTGATTTGTTTTATTTCTCCCTGCTGTATTTTCAGGATGTGCAGGAGGAGAGAAGAAAAGGGAAATACTGACTGATGTGTCTACGTTTTAGAATATTTTGTTTTAGATTATCTTTCATTTTTGTTTTTCCTTTAAATAAACATAAAAATACAATTTGAAGAATTTGAGAAGTAGAAATATGATTACTTTGCTATTTCCAATTAAATGTAGAAAAAAGAGAAAAAGAGTTAATAATGACTGAGACTGCAAAATGAGAAATCATAAAATGGGGTCATTTTAAACTATGAAAAATTGTCTTATCTAACAGAATAAGACAGTAACACAGATTAAATTCTCACATGTATCAATATATAACCTGAAGTACAAGAGTAGTCCAATGTAACTAGATCAGATATTTAACAGAACTGGTTAAGTGTTGGGTAAACAATAGTTATTTAAACAAGTCTAAAAAGATTTTGCTTCTTTTAAAACAATATTTTACTAATATTTTCTAAGCAGAAAAATAGATATTTATAATTAGGAATGCTGAGGTGCTTGAATTATATTCTTAAGTAAACTATTCTTATTATTGTGTCTTTTTGAGTAAATGGCCACAGTTTCCAGGAGTGCTGTTGAAATAAAGCATATTCTGAAAAGCTTAATCACATAGTAAGTTCCTTAAACATATGCTGCCAAAAAAGTGATTTTTAAAGTTTTGTAAGCAACTTTTAGCAATTTATTTTTAAATTTGAAAATTACATAAAAATCAAGATTTCTTTGTGTTCTCAAATACTAGGTAGCAGAAAAACAAAGCCAAGTTATTTTAAATTGAATCTTATTGTTCACATAGTTTGAAAACTCACACCTTTTGTGGCCTATTTAACTTATAATTACTTCTAATTCTTCATAGTTTTAGAAAAATTTTCAGCTTAACCTCAAGACATTCTTTTTCGTATACTTTTTAAAAAGTACAAGTTTTACTGTTTTCTATCTAGTATAATAGCTCAGTTCTTTCCAAAGTACAGATATTTTAATGAAAATGTGTGATCCCTACAATACTAAAGTTAAATAATAATTTTCTGTTTTAAAAATATCATAATTATAAAATACAATTTTACTTGATGTTGTTATATCTATATAACTAACACTGAAATGGCTCCATTGTCTGGGGTATATACCCTGGCTCTTGGTTTCAGTGCAGAAAGAATTCAGGACAGGGACACACATGAGGAGTGGGTTCAGGAGCAGAAAGTTTAATGGAAAAAGAAGAGGGAAAAAGTTTCCTCATTTGAGAAAGCGATCAAAGAGGGTCTCTGAACTGTGGGAAATACAGTCGGTTTGTACAGAGGCTTGAGGAGGTGATGATTGACTTACATAGGGCTCAGGGGATTGTTTTGACCAGGTGTGCCATTCACATAGCCTGTGAAAAGACTGGCCCTCCCACCGTAGCCTTTTATTATGCAAATGCAGCCTCCACCTGGTGGTGGCCATGATGCTTGTACAAGTGATTTTTATCTGGAGGCTGCCATGACACCTGGCACACGTGGTGACAAGGAAAAGAGGGTGGGAGATGCCATATTGGGTGGACCTGGCTACCTGGCTTTCAGCCCCTGGTATTTGCATATCAATGCTTGCAGTTCTGATTTTTCAAGATGCTTTCTGTTAGATAAGAAATGTTTTGCGGGTTGCCTTTTATTAAAAAGAAAAGCCTTACTGAGGACTCTCATACCCTTACTATCTGCCTAATTTCTTCTTAACTCCTATATCAACACTTTCCCTTTTCTCTTCTAATATTTAGTTTTTCACTATTTATCTGATTGTTGCAATTTGTTCAAGTTGCGATTCTGTTCTTTCATATTGATGCATTGCTTTGATGAGAGGAAGATAGGTTTTTCTTGAACTGAAGATGGAGAAGAAAAAAGAATATATACACACATATGCCATATATATGATATATATCATTTATATGTGATATATGTGTGTGTATGTGTATAAAGGTTCATAAAACACAAAAGCAAGTGCTGTGGTGGTGGTGGTTTCATGTGGTTTCGGGCCCAGCCATATAAGCTGTGTCTAGGCTGCTTCCTCAATGTGTGTTAAGCCAAGCCTACAGAGGACAAAGTAAAAGATCAGAGTTCAGTGAACTGATTACTCTTAGTGACAAGAGAGAATAAAATCAAGATACTAAGTTGAATCAAGAGGAATTGTTGACTTTTCTTTCCTTTCTGTCTGTTATTTTTAATCACATTTTTCCTTTGTAGTTATATTCTGACCTTCCTTCCACGGCTTATTAAGAAAATTCTGACTGCACATTTCTAACAGTCACAAGTTAGTAAGCCTTCTTCTCTTCTGACACAGAATGGATTTCCTGGAGATTCATACATAATAGGGCTTTATCACTTCCTCCAGTGGTCTTAGAAAATGTGACCTCTCTCATCAGGGTATTTTTTTTGCCTTTTTACTTAATATATGGGAGCCCATGTGGTATAGAGCAGTAGCTATTTTAAGCTCTTCCTAGTTTATTAATCATACATATGATTCTCACTAACTTTTGCTCCTTGCCCATCAAGCAGTGAAGTAAAGGAAGTGGGTGTGTCTATCAGTGACATTACTGAGATTTATATTGCTAAGTAGTTCTCTAGTTAATAAGATGGCACAGCAGAGCTGCCAGCTGAAATTAAATTTAAATAACACAATATACCCATCATATTTTCCAAATGCTGGCTAGGCCTGGCAAAGGAATTAAATATTATTAAAGTCATCTGTATCCTCTAAGATGACAACAGAACTCAGACAGTCTGACTTCAGCTCTGCTTGTCATTTAGCCCATTGTTTTGTTTTTTTGGCTTTGATCCAGGTGAATAGCAACAATGACCTAAAACAAAACAACCAAAAAAAAAAAAAAGTTTTGAGTGACAAAGTGACCAAGATTTGTGATAAATATTTTGTTTAAATTTATTTATTTATTTTTATTTTTAAAATTTTTTTTAGTTATATATTTATTTTTAGAGACTGGGTTTTGCTGGGTTAACTAGACTGGTCTCAAACTCTTGGACTCAAGTGATCCTCTTGCCTTAGCCTCCAGAGTAGCTAGGATTACAGGCATGAGCCACTGTGCCAACCCAGTGAAATTCATTCACTTTAAATTTGCTCATTCACAGCACTAGCATTTTATTCCTATATAACTCTTATCACTTTAAATTGTATGTATTGGCTGGGTGTGGTGGCTCACACCTGTAATCCCAGCACTTTGGGAGGCCAAGGCAGGCAGATCATCTGCAGTTGGGAGTTTTAGACCAGACTGGCGAACACACTGAAAACCTTTCTATATTAAAAATACAAAAATTAGCCAGGTGTGGTAGTGGACGCCTGTAATCCCAGCAACTTGGGAGGCTGAGGCAGGAGAATTGCTTGAACCTGAGAGGCAGAAGTTGCAGTGAGCTGAGATCATGCCATTGCACTCTAGCGTGGGTGACAAAGTGAGACCCTGGAAAATAAAAACAAAAACAAACAAACAAAAAAACAAATTGTACTGTATTGGCAAGAAGGAGAGGGCACTGCATCTTGTTGTTTCTGGAGGAGAATAAACAAAACATTCTAGTTTCCCCTCTGGTCCTATTTTCTCCTTAACAATGAATAAAGCTACATTATTACATAGGAAAATATAATTTTTTTTTTATTTTTATTATTATTTATTTATTTATTTATTTTGAGACAGAGTCTCGCTCCAGTCACCCAGGCTGGAGCGCAGCGGCGCGTTCTCGGCTCACTGCAAGCTCCGCCTCCCGGGTTCACGCCATTTTCCTGCCTCAGCCTCCCAAGTAGCTGGGACTACAGGCGCCTGCCACTACTCCCGGCTAATTTTTTGTATTTTTAGTAGAGATGGGGTTTCACTGTGTTAGCCAGGATGGTCTTGATCTCCTGACCTCGTGATCCACCCTCCTCGGCCTCCCAAAGTGCTGGGATTACAAGCGTGAGCCACCACGCCTGGCCGAAAATATAAAATTTTTAAAAAGGTGGAAAATTGGTTCCTAAAGTACTAGCACCAGTATCTCTAATCAATCTCTTTAAGGGTGTTTAAATGCTATTAGGAGAAACAAAGTCTTGAACTATATTTATCCAACCTCAAAAATTAAATTAGCAAGTTATAAACATTTTTAATAATCTGGGAAACGAAAACCCACACATTTTTATCTTGCTGAAAAGATTATTATAGATATTTTAGAAAATGAAAAATAGTTTATTATCTGTGTATTCAGAGATAAACTGCATAGGACAGAAGCCAAGGTAGTCTAGTAGTTTAAATTACCTCAAATCCCCAAAATGTTTTTGGTCCTCTTCACTCCTGCCTGATAAGCTTGATCCTTGTTTTATTGAAAAAATAGTAGCAAACTGAAAAAGGGGTTCTGCTTATCCCTACCAACACATCTTTCGACTCCCATATATTCTGCTTTTCAGCTTCATATTATGTTTTTGCTAATTTTATGCTTTGATGTAAGACTGACTTCTTCAATTTTACACCGGAACTCATCCCCTCCTTTTTATTCTATGTTATCATCCCCAGCATCATCAATAGTTCCCTCTCTACTCATTTTCATCAATATAAACATGTCATCATATCTCACTTTTTTAAAATGCCCCTTCAATCCAATAACTACCTTCACTTACTAAACTATATTTCTGCTTTATTTTGAAGTATAAATTTCCAAAGTAGTTGCTTCCAATTTCTTTCCTGCCCTTTTCTTTAAAGATGCTCCAAAGAAGCTTCCATTGTGATCATTGTGCTGAAAACACCCTAAGTAACCAATAGTCTCTTTTTTATTTAACTCTATGGATAATTTCTAGGTCTCATTCACTTCTTATTTTTGGCGATAAGCAGCATTTCATACACTTGATTATTCATTTCTTCTTGGAATACTTTCTTTATTTGGGTTCTGAGACATCACTCTCTTGGTTTATAACTACCTAACTCATGATACAGTCTAGTATCATTTGCTGATTCCTTGTTTTGCAAACTTGTAAATATTTGAGGGAATCAGGATTCAATCCCCTGACTTTTTGTATTCTTTTTTTCTAATCTATACTTTTAGTGATCTCATGTTCAGACAAGACCTGTATCTGAAACTGTAGACATATATCACACACCTATTGAACATAGCTACTTGGATATCTAATAGGATTCACAAAATTAACACTTGTAATTGAACTGATTCCCACCAAGAATAGTGTTACTTTTCCAATTTTTCTATTCCTGGAACTGAAAAAAGTATTTCACAGTTCCTTAGCCAAAATTTCTTGGAGTCATCGTTTACTTTTTCTCTTCCTATGACACTCAATATGCAATAACTCAGCTTTATCTACAAAATATATCTGAATTCAAATTAGTTCGTACTACCACCACAACTAACACATGATTAAAAACACCAATTTACTGCACCAGGATTATTGCAATAATTGGTCTTATTGGTTCTAATTTTGTTTCTTAAATGTTGATTCTGATACTGGAACCATGGGGAACCTTGACCACTTCTCTTTTTCAATCTCCCAAAGGCTCCACATTTCACTGAAAGTAAAAGCTGAGTTCTTAAATTGACTCCTGAGGTTCTACAAGTGCTATATACCCTCCCTTCGCTATCATTTTCTTCACTTCCCTTCTTCCAATGACATTAACAACTTTGCTGTTCTGCAAACTCACCAAGTAGGCATATGTACTAGCTTTACATTTAACATCTGTTTTTTTCCTAGAATGCATATTTTTTAATACAGATATTTCTCAGGTTACATCCTGATAAACCCATTGTAAATTGAACTTTCTGTTGAAAAGCTCAAGGACTTTTTTTCCTCAGTCATGTCTACTCTACTAATAAACCTATCAAAGACATTCTTTATTTCTATTACAGTGTTTTTGATTTCTAGCATTTCTTTTTTATTCTTTCTTGGAATTTCCTTTTTGCTGCTTATATTATTCATCTGTTCTTGCACATTGCCTACTTTTTCCATTAAATCCCCAACAAATTAATGTCATATATATTTATAATTACTGATCTCATAATTCCAACATTTTTGTCATATCTGGGTCTAGTTCTGATGTTTGCTCAGTTTCTTCAACCTGTGCTTTTTATCTTTTAGTGAATCTTGTAATTTTTTTTCTTACAGCTAGACATCATATACTTGATGAAAGGACCTGGGGTAAATAGGCCTTTGGTAATGTGGTAAGTTGTGGGAAGAGGGAAAGCATTCTTTAGTCCCATAATTAGATCTCAGTGTTTTAGTGAGCCTTTGCTCCTGGACTATAAACTTTCCAAGTGATTATCATTCCCCCTCCTCCCCTTGGGTGATTCAGCATAGCTAAAGTGTGACGGGGTTATGCATTTTCCTTCTTCCATGTTGAAGGCTAAAATCAGCTAGACTTAAGTGTTCTCCTTTCCCTAGGTCAGTTAGAATCTCATAAAATCCCATTAGATTAGGCCCAAGTGAAGTAGTTTTTCTTGAGGGCAGGCCTTGTTAAGAAGAGCAGAATGCCTTGATGTATTTCAAAATGGTTATTTTCCCCTCCCCATTTATCTATTTTGCTTAGGTTTTCCTCCTTGGTACTGGTTTCTGCTCAGGTGTTTCTGCTCTAAGTTGTGTTTTGCAGTATGTGCCTGTTTGCCTTTCTAATTTTAAGGGCAGTGCTTTGCCCTGTGAGCTCACTTCTCTGATGGTTCCAAGAAGAATTGTTGATTTTTCTGTTTGTTCAGCTTTTTACTTGTTGTTAGAACTAAGTAATTACTGCCAAGCTCCTTACGTCCCAGACTAGAAAATTAATATTCTATATTTATTTTTTAAAGTGTATTTTGACCTTTGAAAGTAATCATTCAGTGACATGAGGAACATGTCCATCAACTTTTAGATATCTAGTAGCATACAATGAACAAGACCTAAATACTTATTATTATATTTAGAAAAAAAATTTAAAGGATTATTCTTATAAGAACTATATTTACATCTACTTTTATGAGATTACTTTTTCACAATAGAATATTTCACAGATTTAAAAAAAGAGGCCACCAGCTAGTGGCTAGTTAGCTGAGTATGAGATGAGTGCCAAACAATAAATTAAATCTAGACATTGGAAGATAAAATACTTTCTTTTTCTGTGATGTCTTTTATAGCAGTTCAGCACCTTGCTCACCATATTACAGTTGGGGCCTTTGTCACCGAGGGTTGAGTAATAATTTGTTGACAGCTGTTACAATACACAAAGTACCACAGTATTTATCTGAAATCTCTTGTAATCAGTTAAAATGCACACATGCGCACACAAACCTGTGTGTGTGCACACATACGGCCAATCAATGCACTCAACTGCTGGTCAGTTTCAAAGCTTATTTTCAAGAATACAGTGGTGTGATTAACAGTTTCCTTTGCTTATATTTGCATTGTAGGCATAATCAATTTTTTTCTGATATTCCATATTGAGGATAATATGTATTTATAATTTCACATATTTCCTCTCAGTTCTTCATTCTTTTCAAGGAAAACCCTTTTAGTCTATATAATTGTTGAAGGCAAAACAAATTTAAAATAAATTGTTTATTCCACTATTTATATGAGTCAATCTGATCTTCAAAATTAATATGCTCCTTTGGTAAAAATAAATAAATCTACTTTTATTATTAAGCTAAACTATCCCTAATACCTAGGTAATTTTGTTTTCTGTTCGAAAAGAGTGAACTGAAAGTGCAGCTTTTCAAAAAAGACAAAAAATAATTTTATTAATTGGAAATATCAATCTAAATCACAATGTGAAAATGTTTAGTATCATTGATATTCATCTCCAGACTGAGATACTTGTGAACATATGTGAAAGGTCATGTAAAGTAGATATCATCTATATTTGATAGTGACAGGAGCCATACAATGCCTACGCAGATAGGGGTGCATACCTAGAGAAACCCCTCCTTCAAGCCAAAAACAGCCTGCTGATTCTGGATGAAAGCCATGACCCAGAGTGAGAACTTCTGTTCTTGTTTGCCTGCCCTTTCCAATATTGATTCTTTCTGAATAATAATTTTTAACCCATCAAATGTTGCCTTTTCCTATACTACCAACGGCCTGCCCCTCCCCCATCCTGTGCCTATAAAAACCCCAGACTCCGCCACACTGGCGGGAGATGACACGACTTCAGATGGGAGGCCACCTTTCTGTCCCCTCTCCACTGAGAGCTGTTTCATTGCTCAATAAAATTCTCCACCCTCATCGCCCTTCAATTGTCAGCATGACCTCATTCTTCTTGAATGCAGGACAAAAATTCAGGACCTACCAAACACAGGTACTCAGAAAGCTATAATACTCTTGCTCTCTGCCATCTGCCAGTGGAGGGCAGCTGCCCTACACTACAGAAAGCAATGACGGACTTGAGCCAGTCCCAGAGCTATAAGCCAGAGTGGGGCAAGGGGCTGAACCAAGCTGTAAACATGCAGCTGTCTGTTGGGCTGCAGAGGCAAGACTAAAAAGCTAACTAGCATGTTGTAACACCCTTTCTGGGGCTTTGGGGTCATGGGCATCTCTGCCTGGGCACCACCATGTTCCCCTCAGTGAGGCACACCTAGTCAAGTCGCAAGCCCTGCACGGAGCCACCCTTGTGCATGCATTTGGAACAGCCAGCCAGACCCTGCACTTGCTTGCTCCCACACACCCTCCTGCCAGGTGCTGAGTGAGCAGTCACGGTGGCTGCAGGAGCCGCAGGCTGGAGTACAAGCAATATGCATCCTGGCAGGCCAAGTAGAGAGGGCATCTCCTGCTGCAAGCCAGGCAAACTGCCTAAGAGAAATCCTGCATCATATTTTTGTAGAAAATAAAATGTATTTAGTATAGTGTTTGGCAAGATTGCCAAGTAATTCTAACTATATGCCATTTATAAACAAACATCATTTGAATATAATAATTTAATGCTCTTTCTTACATGTATAAATTTAGGGTGGCTTAGTGTTCTAAAATCTAGTGACTGACTGTCATAAAAGCTTAATGGCTTGAGGCAAATCCAACTGAGTTCCTTCATTCCTAAAGTTGATTCATTTTCTTCTAAGTTAGTGTTTTCATTGTCAATGATGTGTCTCTCTGCAAGACAGAATGTTCCAATCGCTTCTTGATTAGAAAAGCAATACTGATTTTGGCGCCAAACAAATTTGTTCAGAATTGACAGAAAGACCAGGAATGACTGTCCTGTTGGATTTAGAGAAGTTGCAATGTCAAAATCTAATCCAGCTTCCTCCTTTTTCATGTATGCCACTGCCATTAGGAGGATTTCTCAAGTGCAACTGAACACTACTGAATGATTCAGAAAGTACTTTTTATGACCACTTGTCATGCTGACCATCAAATATGAGTGAGATAATTAGAAATAGTTTGAGCTTTCAGAAATAATCAAAATTGTTGCCAGAATTATGAATAGTCAGATACATGAAGAAATGTAGGAAAATATCTTAGGAAACATGCTACCCATGACCATCATTTTGAAGATGACTGATACAGAGTGAGAGAGGTGAATGTAGAACCACACGCAGCTGAAATCTAACACGAAGAAACAGGTTTTTTTTATAGTGTAAATTCTGTGATATTGAAAGCTACACTGCAAAAAAAAGTTTCTGTATACAGAGATTCATGGCATGCATTTCCCATTGTTGCTTTCTGAAAAGGACTGATGGATAAAATTATGGGTGAGATAGATTGTATGGTTTTCTTTTCAATCATTTACCCAGCATGAAATGGACAATTTGTTGTTTCACATTGCTATATTTTAGCTATAAAAAATGTTACACAATCAGGGCTAAATAAATTATCTCAAAATACATTAACAATGCCATATACTAAGAAAATTACTAAGGCTGCTGGAACAGACTTATTTGGCAGATTTGGACAGACACTGAGTTTTGATTGGATGACTAATTTAAAATGCTCAGGTCTTGAACTTGGCAATTTTTTCTTTCACAATTTGTAGTAGTTTTAAAATAAGACACTTTTAAGGAGGCCTTAATTCTGTTAAAACTATATTAAGTCCCCAGATACCAGGTGAATATTTACAGATTATATACCATACACACACGTGTAAAGTTTATTTTTCAGTGCTACTTCTCATACACTTGTTAAATCGGTTTTATTTTATGATCAGTTCAGGAGAGATTTAATGTTTGGATTGATGATCCCAATTGCCGGGTTGTTGACAATGGCTTATCATGTGTTCTTTTTCTGTACAAAAGCATAACTTTGGGCCATAAGACCTAAATAGGGACTTAGATAAGCAAAGTTTCAGTTAAAGTTATAATACAGTTAGGATGTTTTGATTGTATTCAAAAGAAAGCCTATTCTAAGACCCAGAAAAATAAAGACACATTATCCTAAAGAGGTAGGATCTACCCTGTAGGATGAGTTGTTTCAGCAGTGGCTCCATCAGATCATTAAGAAGAGAGGTGCTTTACTTATCATTTACCTGCCTTTCATAGATTAGAACGCTCATTTTCCTGTGCATAAAAAGGCTGCCCATAGAATCCGTACTACACCATCTTGTTTTATTTGGGCTTCTATAACAGAATACCATAGGCTTGGTGACTTAAACAGCAAACATTTATTTCTCCGTTCTGAAGACTTTCTCTTGAAGCCCAAGATAAAGGCATCAGTCAACTCAGTGTCTAGAAAGGGCCCACCTTCTTGTTCATATAGAGTTCCTTTTTACTATTTCTTCACATGGTGAAAAGAAGTGAGACAAGTCCCTGGAGCTTCCTATATGAGGGCACTAATCCCATTCATGAGGGCTCTACCCTCATGACCCAATCACCTCCCAAAGGCTTCACTTCCTAATATCATCATTTTGGGGATTTGGATTTGAATATACAAATTTGAGAGGACACAGACATTCATTCTACAGCACACAGGTTTCCTTTATCATATTCAATGGAAAGACAGAATCTGACTTCATAATGCCCATTTTAAGAGTGAGTAATGGCTTTCTGAGAAGCTATAACTATACCTGTTACAGTATTGGTCGTCTGTATCCCACGGCCATTTTTAAACTGCTCAGTAGAATGAAACTGCCTTTAGCCCAATCTACCTCATTGCGTAAACTGAGATCCCTTCTCCAGATAGCATTAGTGCTATTCAACAGGTGAGGAATTGAATAGATAACAGAAAGTCACCATTGTTAACTGAAAGTTTATACCCCTCATACAATATCCAGGTCTATATCCTTCCAACTAGAATATCATCCCAAGAAATCTACAGGGGAGAATAGAATCCTGGAACAAAATTGCAGTTTGAAGGGGTACATCAGTATTCACATCCTCAAAACCACCCCAGTCAACTGTGTAATTAAATATGAAGAGTGATTTTTACTAAGAAAAAGTAGCTTCATGACAGGTTTCCTAATCCCCATAAAGGCAAAGCGCTTCCCTTTTTAACAGTCTCTTTTTATTAGAAACTTGCAGCCACATTTGCATGAAAAGTGTCACCGTTATTACGGTCCCCTAGTTCCATAAGCTCCCATTAAAAAAGGCCCCACTTTGGGTTTTCTGCTTCAAGTTTTGCCTCCTTATACTCTATTTCCATATCTATTTCAGTCTATGGAGTTATTTTTCTAACATTAAGAAAAGGAATGTTTCTCCTTTCTATAAGTTCATCAAGGCTTTCCATTTACTTCCGGGCAACAGAAAGTTCCACTGTGATATGGTATACAGTACTGTCACATCAAACTCACACTGGGTTTACTCAGATTTTCCCAATGACCTCAAAAGGGAAAGAAGATAACACTAATTGATAATAATATTCTTTAATAACGTAGACTGAAGCCCCACAAAAATAAGTTCAATTAGGTCTGAACAATAAACTTGTATTGGCACATACTGTGATTTAAAAAAAACGGAACCATATTTTGTGTTTGCAGACATCGATGAAGAAGAAAATGTCATGGTCATGGGATCAAACAAGTATATGACGACTTACTCAAGAGTTTTAAAAGAAGAAATTGACGAATTAACTAAAAATCTATGAGAACTTAGAATATATTTGTCTACATAAGACAAAAGTGAAGGCAAAAATAGAAAATAGCCAATAAATTGGAAACCTCAGTAATTTTTAAAAATAGTTCAAGAAATAGAACACTTGAAGAATTTAATTTCAACACAGCATTTCTCCATGGAATTATATCCTCTACATGACTGTATTCATTGTACAGGTAAACCTACATGTAACTGTGTGGAACTCTATAAAGAAAACAATATTCTATGTATTTTATGATCACTTTGAAGATATTTTGAAGGAATAAACTATTTTCTGTTTTCTCATCTGCTAGCCACCCATTAAAGCAATAACCCCAATATCCAAATTCTTTTTATAACTGGTCTTTCTCGGCCTCTTCTCTTTCAAATCCTGAATCTCTCTGCCCTTTACTGCACAATTTAGTGAAAGAGTACAATTCTCTAGGCCTAAAAATATCAAAATAACTTGAAAAGTTATTGGAGGAGTATAGTACTACAGTTTGACTAAGTATTTGTTTCTTTCCAATTCCCTCTAATTAAACAATGTATCTGCTAAAAAAGGACCTAGGAAAAATGGAGGAAGAATAATAAAGCAATAATAATGCAAATTTTTAGAATAGTGATAAATTAGTATTCTTCCCTAGGAAAAAAGCCCTAAGCTCTGAGTAAAGAGTGTAAATATAAGTGAGTATAGAAGTGGCTTTCTAAAAATTGATTATGTAGCACTATCATTTTTTCATACATGTTCTCTAAAAAAAATAATAAATTAACTAATAAAATATCCATTAGTTATGAATACATTTATAAAATAAATATTTTTAATTAATACAATTAATAAAATAATTTAATACTTTAAATACTGACTGATTACCTTGTCCTTGACCCCAGATTATGTCAAGGCTACATAATCCTTGTAGACCATAGAATTATGGAAAACAATTATGGGTAGCTAACTGAAGGACTACATTTTCATGTCAAATTTATTTCTCTGCTCTTTCTCTACACATTCTGGTGTTGCCAATTGATGTAACCTCAACATGGTTATTTAGTTCTGTTCCTAAAGGGGGGACCAGTTTAGGAAATAGATCTATACAAGGACAGGGGAATCTCAATTCTATATTTATCTACCTAATTTAGACTTCCATTTACAAATATAGCTAAATTACCAAGTACTATAGACTGAATGTCTGTGTCCCTGCATTCTAAATTCATATTTTGTATCCTGAGACTTTGCTGAAGTTGCCTATCAGCTTAAGGAGATTTTGGGCTGAGACAATGGGGTTTTCTAGATATGCAATCATGTCATCTGCAAACAGGGACAATTTGACTTCCTCTTTTCCTAATTGAATGCCCTTTATTTCTGTCTCCTGCCTGATTGTCCTGGCCAGAACTTCCAACAGTATGTTGAATAGGAGTGGTGAGAGAGGGCATCCCTGTCTTGTGCCAGTTTTCAAAAGGAACGCTTCCAGTTTTTGCCCATTCAGTATGATATTGGCTGAGGATTTGTCATAAATAGCTCTTATTATTTTGAGATACGTCCCATCAATACCTAATTTTTTGAGAGTTTTTAGCATGAAGGGCTGTTGAATTTGGTCAAAGGCCTTTTCTGCATCTATTGAGATAATCATGTGGTTTTTGTCTTTGGTTTTGTTTATATGCTGGATTACGTTGATTGATTTTCATATGTTGAACCAGCCTTGCATCCCAGGGATGAAGCCCACTTGATCATGGTGGATAAGCTTTTTGATGTGCTGCTGTATTCGGTTTGCCAGTATTTTATTGAGGATATTTGCATCGATGTTCATCAGGGATATTGGTCTAAATTTCTCTTTTATTGTTGTGTCTCTGCCAGGCTTTGGTATCAGGATGATGCTGGCCTCATAAAATGAGTTAGGGAGGATTCCCTCTTTTTCTATTGATAGGAATAGCTTCAGAAGGAATGGTACCAGCTCCTCCTTGTACCTCTGGTAGAATTTGTTGGTGAATCCATCTGGAAAAATCACAAGCATCCTTATACACCAATAACAGACAAACAGAGAGCCAAATCATGAGTGAACACCCATTCACAATTGCTTCAAAGGGAATAAAATACCTAGGAATCCAACTTACAAGGGATGTGAAGGACCTCTTCAAGGAGAACTACAAACCACTGCTCAATGAAATAAAAGAGGACACAAACAAATGGAAGAACATTCCATGCTCATGGATAGGAAGAATCAATATTGTGAAAATGGCCATACTGCCCAATGTAATTTATAGATTCAATGCCATCCCCATCAAGCTACCAATGACTTTCTTCACAGAACTGGAAAAACTACTTTAAAGTTCATATGGAACCAAAAAAGAGCCCGCATTGCCAAGTCAATCCTAAGCCAAAAGAACAAAGCTGGAGGCATCACGCTACCTGACTTCAAACTATTCTACAAGGCTACAGTAACCAAAACAGCATGGTACTGGTACCAAAACAGAGATATAGACCAATGGAACAGAACAGAGCCCTCAGAAATAAGACCACACATCTACAACTATCTGATCTTTGACAAACCTGAGAAAAACAAGAAATGGGGAAAGAATTCCCTATTTAACAAATGGTGCTTAGAAAACTGGCTAGCCATATGTAGAAAGCTGAAACTGGATCCCTTCCTTACACCTTATACAAAAATTAATTCAAGATGGATTAAAGACTTATATGTTAGACCTAAAACCATAAAAACCCTAGAAGAAAACCTAGGCAATACCATTCAGGACATAGGCATGGGCAAGGACTTCATGTCTAAAACACCAAAAGCTATGGCAACAAAATCCATAATTGACAAATGGGATCTAATTAAACTAAAGAGCTTCTGCACAGCAAAAGAAACTACCATCAGAGTGAACAGGCAACCTACAGAATGGGAGAAAAATGTTGCAATCTACTCATCTGACAAAGGGCTAATAACCAGAATCTACAATGAACTCAAACAAATTTACAAGAAAAAAACAAACAACCCCATCACAAAGTGGGCAAAGGATATGAACAGACACTTCTCAAAAGAAGACATTTATGCAGCCAACAGACACATGAAAAAATGCTCATCATCACTAGCCATCAGAGAAATGTAAATCAAAACCACAATGAGATATTATCTCACACCAGTTAGAATGGCAATCATTAAAAAGTCAGGAAACAACAGGTGCTGGAGAGGATGTGGGGAAATAGGAACACTTTTACACTTTTGGTGGGACTGTAAACTAGTTCAACCATTGTGGAAGACAGTGTGGTGATTCCTCAAGGATCTACAACTAGAAATACCATTTGACCCAGCCATCCCATTACTGGGTATATACCCAAAGATCATAAATCATGTTGCTATAAAGACACATGCACACGTATGTTTATTGCAGCACTACTCACAATAGCAAAGACTTGGAACCAACCCAAATGTCCAACAATAATAGATTGGATTAAGAAAATGTGGCACATATACACCATGGAATACTATACAGCCATAAAAAAGGATGAATTCATGTCCTTTATAGGGACATGGATGAAGCTAGAAACCATCATTCTCAGCAAACTATTGCAAGGACAAAAAACCAAGCACCGCATGTTCTCACTCATAGGTGGGAATTGAACAATGAGAACACCTGGACACAGGAAGGGGAACATCACACACCAGGGCCTGTGTGTGGAGTGGGGAGAGGGGGGAGGGATAGCATTAGGAGATATACCTAATGTAAATGATGAGTTATTGGGTGCAGCACACCAACATGGGACAAGTATACATATGTGACAAACCTGCACATTGTGCACATGTACCCTAGAACTTAAAGTATAATAAAAAAGATTTTAAAAAATTTAAAAAATAAATTCATATGTTGAAGCCTGACCCCCAGTGTGATGGTACTTGGAAGTAAGACCTCTGGGAGGTAACTAGATGAGGAAGATGAATCCCTCATGAATGGGATTAATGCTCTTATAAGAAGAGAAACAAAAGAGCTTGCTTTCTCTCTCTCTCTGCTCTATACCATGTGAAGATACAATAAAAGATGGCCACACGTAAAAAGTTTTCTCATCAGAAACTGAATCAGTCAGCACCTTGATAAGCTTTCTCATCAGAAACTGAATCAGTCAGCACCTTAATATAGGACTTTCCAGCCTCCAGAACTGTGAGAAATAATTTTCTATTGTTTAAGCCACCCAGTGTATGGTAATTGCTTGGATAGCCAGAACTAAGACAGAAATTGGTACCAATAAGTGGGATGCCGCTCTTAACAAATACCTAAATATGTGGAAGCAGCTTTGGAATTGGGGAATGGGTAGAGACTAAAAAGTTTTGAAGTACACACTAGAAAATGCCAATATTTTCATAACAGGATTTTGAAAGATTCATGGGGAGGGCTCCAAAAGAATAGAAATCCCAGTAGGAAGCAGGTTTAACAATTTCCTTCCTAAATGGTATCCTTTGTAGTAGATGTAGGTTGAAAAAAAAGAGTCAAAAGATACTGGCACATTACTAGAGTTCCATTTGGCCATTAATAGTTTATCAACATGTCATAAAAACAAAATGTCTCTCAGAGCAATGCCTCTTAGGTTTTCAGGCTGCCATTCAACCTGGTCAGGTTCTTTTTTTCCTTCTTTTCTTCAACTGTGATTTAAAGTTCAGGGGTACATATGCAGGGTGTGCAAGTTTGTTACATAGGCAAACGTACGCTATAGTGGTTTGTTGCACAGATCAACCCATCACATAGGTATTAAGCTCCACATCCATTACCTTTTATTCCTGATGCTCTCCCTCCCCGACCCAATCACTTTCTGACACACCTCAGTGTGTGCTTCCCCCCATTTGTCCATGTGTTCTTATAATTCAGCTCCCACATATAAGTGAGAACATGAAGTGTTTGGTTTTCTGTTCCTGCTGGGGATAATGGCTTCCAACTCCACCCATGTCCTTGCAAGGGACATGATCTCCTTCTTTTTTATGACTGTATAGTATTCCATAGTATATATGTACCACCTTTTCTTTATTCAGTCTATCATTTATGGGCATTTAGGTTGATTCCATTTCTTTGCTACTGTAAATGGTGTTGCAATGAACATAAGTGTGCACTCATCTTTATAACAGAATGACTTATATTCCTTTGGGTATGCACCCAGTAATGAGATTGCTGGGTCAAATGGTATTTCTGGTTCTAAGTCTTTGAGGAATCAACACACTGTCTTCCACAATGGCTGAACTAATTTCCCCTCCCACCAACCATGTAAAAGTGCTTCTTTTTCTTTACAACCTCACCAGTATCTGTTGCTTTTTGACTTTTTAATAATCACCATTCTGACTGGCAGGAGATGGTATCTTATTGTGGTTTTGATTTGCATTTATTTAATGATCAGCGATGTTGAGGTTTTTTTCAGGTTTTTTCTCCACAGCTTCGCCTTCTTTTAAGAAGTATCTGTTCATCTTCTTTGCCCACTTTTTAATGGGGTTGTGTATTAGTTCTCACGCTACTGATGAAGACATACCCAAGACTGGGAAATATACAAAAGAAAGAGGTTTAATGGACTCACAGTCCACGTGGCTGGGGTGGGGGCCTCACAATCATGGTGGAAGGCGAAAGGCATGAATCACATGGCGGCAGACAAGAGAAAAGAATGGAAGCCAAGCAAAAGGGGTTTCCCCTTATAAAACCATCAGATCATATGAGACTTATTCACTACCACAAGAACAGTATGGATGAAACTGCCCCCATGATTCAATTATCTCCCATTGTGTCTCTTCCACAACACAAGGGAATTACGGGAGCTACAATTCAAGATGTGGTTTGGGTGGAGAGACAGCCAAACCTTATCAGGAATTTTTTTTCCTTGTAAATTTGTTAAAGTTCCTTATAGATTCTGGATATTAGACCTTTGTCAGATAGATAGACTGCAAAAATTTTCTCCCATTCTGTAGGTTGTCTGTTCACTCTGATGATAGTTTATTTTGCTGTGCAGAAGCTCTCTAGTTTAGTTAGATCCCATTTGCCAATTTTTGCTTTTGTTGCAACTGTGTTTGGTATTTTCATTATGAAATATTTGCCCATGCCTATGTCCTGAATGATATTGACTACGCTTTCTTCCAGGGTTTTTATACTTTTGGGTTTTACATTTAAGTCTTTAATTCATCTTGAATTGATTTTTGTATATGGTGTAAGGAAGGGGTCCAGTTTCAAAATTCTGCATATGGCTAGTCAGTTCTCCCAGCACCAATTATTAAATAGAAAATCCTTTCCCTGCTGCTTGTTTTGATCTCTCAAAGATCAGATGGTTGCAGATGTGCAGTCTTATTTCTGCATTCTTTATTCTGTTCCATTGGTCTATGTGTCTGTTCTTGTTCCAGTACAAGGCTATTTTGGTTACTGTAGCACTGTAGTACAGTTTGAAGTCAGGTGGCATGATGCCTTCAGCTTTGCTCTTTTTGCTTATGATTTCCTGGGCTATTCAGGCTCTTTGATTCTATATGAATTTTAGAATAGTTTTTTCTAATTCTGTGAAGGATGTCAATGGGAGTTTAATGGGAATAGCATTGAATCTATAACTTGCTTTGGGTAATATGTCCATTTTCACAATGTTGATTCTTCCTATCCATGAGCATGGAATGTTTTTCCATTTGTTTGTGTCATCTCTGATTTCTTTGAGTAGTGGTTTCTAGTACTCCTTGAAGAGTTCCTTCACTTCCCTCATTAGCTGTATTCCTAGGTATTTTATTCTTTCGGGAGCAATCATGAATGATAGTTCACTTGTGATTTGGCTGTCAACTTGCCTGTTGTTGGTGTATAGTAATGCTTGTGATTTTTGCACATTGATTTTGTATCCTGAGGCTTTGCTGAAGTTGCTTATTAGCTTAAAAAGTTATGGGGCTGAAACAATGGGGTTTTCTAAATATAGGACCATGTCATCTTCAAACAGGGATAATTTGACTTCCTCTCTTCCTATTTAAATATGCTTTATTTCTTTCTCTTGCCTGATTGCCCTGGCCAGAACTTCCAATAATATGTTGAATAGGAGTGGTAAGATAGGTCATCTTTGTCTTGTGCCTGTTTTCACAGGGAATGCTTCCAGCTTTTGCCCACTCAGTATGATATTGGCTGTGGTTGTGGGTTTGTCATATATGGCTCTTATTATTGTGAGATATGTTTCTTCAATACCTAGTTAACTGAGAGTTTTTAACAAGAAGCGATATTGAATTTTATCTAAAGCCTCTTCTGAATTTATTAAGCTAATCATGTGGTTTTTGTCTTTAGTTCTGTTTATGTGATGAATCACATTTATTGATTTGTGTATGTTGAACCAACTTTGCATCCTGGGGTTGAAGTCTCTACTTGATCCTGTTGGATAAGCTTTTTGATGTGTTACTGGATTTGGTTTGCCAGTATTTTGCTGAGGATTTTTGCACTAATGTTCATCAAGGGAATTGCCTGAAGTTTTCTTTTGCTGTTGTATCTCTGCCAGGTTTTGGTACCAGGATGATGCTGGCCTCATAGAACGAGTGATGCAGAAATCCCTCCTTTTCAATTTTTTGGAATAGTTTCAGTAGGAATGGACCCAGATTTTCTTTGTACCTCTGGTAGAATTCAGCTGTGTTGGTAGGCTATATAACTGCCTCAATTTCAGAACTCATTATTTGTCTATTCAGGGATGAGGTTTCTTCCTGGTTCAGTCTTGTGATGGTGTATGTGTCCAGGAATGTATCCATTTCTTCTAGATTTCCTAGTTTATGTGCATAGAGGTGTGTATACTATTCTCTGTTGGTTGTTTGTATTTCTGTGGGGTCAGTGATAATATTTCACTCATTTCTGATTGTATTTATTTGTATCTTCTCTCTTTTCTTCTTTATTGGTCTAGCTAGTTGTCTATTTTATTATTATTCTTGTTTTTTAAAAAGCTCCTGGATTCATTTATTCTTTTGAAGGTTTTTTGGTGTGTCAGTCTCTTTCAGTTCAGCTCTGACGTTAGTTATTTTTTTGTATGCTGCTAGGCTTGAGGTTTGTTTGCTCTTGTTTCTCTAGTTCTTTTAGTTGTGATCTTATGTTGTTCATTTGAGATCTTTCTAGCTTTTTGATGTGGGCATTTAGTGCCATAAATTTTCCTCTTAGCACTGTTTTAGCTGCATCCCATGATTTTGGTATATTATAACTTTGACCTCATTAGTTTCAAAAAACTTATTGATTTCTGCCTTAATTTCATTATTTACCCAAGAGTTGTTCAGGAGCAGCTTGTCCAATTTCCATGCAGTCTTGACTTCTAATTTGATTGCAGTGTGGTCCAAAAAACTTTGTTATGATTTCAGGTCATAACAAAGATTTAGCTCAGCAAAGTCCTTTTTGTCTACATTCTGAAGCCCATTTTTGTCATTTCAACAATTTCAGCCTCACTGCAGCTTGGAACCCTTACTGGAGAGGTGTTGTGATCATTTGGAGGAAAGTGGGCACTCTGGATTTTTGAGTTTTCAGTGTTTTTGAACTGATTTTTTTCTCATCTTTGTGTGCTTATCTACCTTCTGTTTTCAAGATTGATAACCTTTGGATGGAGTTTTTGTGTTATTTTTTGGTTGTTGTTGTTTTCTGTTTGTTTGTTTCTTTTTTTTTTTTTTTTTTTTTGATGGAGTCTCGCTCTGTCACCAGGCTGGAGTGTGGTCGTGTGATTTCAGCTCACTGCAACCTCTGCCTCCTGGGTTCAAGTGATTCTCCTACCTCAGCTTCCCGAGTAGCTGGGAATACAGGTGCATTCCACCATGCCCAGCTAATTTTTTGTATTTTTAGTAGAGACGGGGTTTCACCACGTTGGCTAGGATGGTCTTGATCTCTTGACTTTGTGATCCACCAGCCTTGGCCTCCCAAAAAGCTGGAATTACAGGCATAAGCCACTGCACCCAGCCTGTTTCTTTTTCTTTTAACATTCTGTCCACTCTTCTGTAGGAATGCTGCAGTTTCTTGGGGTTCTACTCCAGACTCTAGTTGCCTCAATTTTTCTAGTACTTGGAGGTATCACCAGTGAGGCCTGTGAAACAGCAAAGATGGCAGCCTGCCCCTTCCTCTGGAAGCTCCATCCCAGGGGGTAGTTACCTTTGCCAGCCTGAATGTGCCCACAGGAGGTGTCTGGAGACCCCTGTTGGGAGGTCTCACCCAGTAAGAAAGAATGGGATTAAGGTCCTGCTTAAAGAAGCATTCTGGCTGCTTTTTGGTAGAGCAGCTGTGTTTTGTTGGGGAGTCCTTCAGTCACTGATTGGTTTGGGCTTTCAAAAGCCTATAGACTGGACTGGCTGAGACCCCTAAACAGCCAAGGTGATGGTTCACCCTACCCCCTTGCCACTCCATCCCAGGGAAAAATTAGAACCGTTGGCCATAGAATATGGGCTGTGGTAGCCAGAAGCCCTGGCTGAAAGGATCCATCCAGCAAAGTGGAAAGGATCTGAGTGCCACTTAAAGAAGCAGTCTGGCCGTGCCTCAACAAAACAGCCATGCCATGCTGAGGAACCACCTCTGCCCTGATCAGCTTGGACTCTCCAAATCTACAGGCTAAAAGAGCTTCATCATCCAAACAAGCAAGGTGGTGACCCTCTCCTCTGCCAGATACTCTGTCCCAGGAAGAGATCAGAGTTCTGTCTGTAGAATATGAGCAGGCGAGGATGGCTGGAGGCCCTGGCCTGGAGGTCCTATGCAGTCAGGAGGAATGGAATAGGGTCCCACTTAAAAAAGCAGTCTGGTTATGTTCTGGTAGAGCAGCTGTGCTGTGCTGGGGGGACCCTTCCTTGTCTGGACCATTTAGACTCTCCAAAGGCCACATACTGGAACGACAGAGTGGACCAAACATCAAAGATGGTGGCCCGCCCTCCCCACATTGGGAGCTCTGTCCTGCCTCAGGCAGGTTCCACTTGTTGCCAGTGGCTCGTTGGAATTCCAAGCCTGTGGGTCTTATCTTGTGAGGTGCCATGGACGTGGGGACCTCAGATCTATGCTGATTGGCTCCCTGGATTTGGCACCCTTCCTAGGGGTATGTACAGATGTCCCACCTTACCTGAGTTGCAGTCACCTTTGTGAGGGATCCCAGGAGTATGTAAAGCTCCTGGGTATCTGTGCATGCCTGAGCAGATGCTCTGCCGTGACTCCATACAGCTCTGTGTATCAGACTCAAGGCCCTGGTGGTGTGGGCTCACAAGGGGACCTCCTGATCTGAGGCTTGTGAAGATCCATGGAAGAAGTGTGGTTTCCCAGAGTCGCTCATTTACTTACCACCTTCCTTGGCTGGGAGTGGGTGTTTCCTTGGCTCTGTGTCACTCTTGGGTGGGCTGTCATCCTGCTCTGCTTTTCCTCATTCTCCATAGTTGAGTTGCTTCCCTGATCAGTCCCAATACAAGTACCTGGATATTTTGGTTGAAGGTGCTGTACCCACTCGACACTTTTGTTCTTCTTTGTGAGTGTTGTGGACTGCAGCTGCTTCCACTTGGCCATCTTGGTCTCCTCTCTTAAACAAATTTTATAAGCATAATACTCAATAAAATAAGTCATAGGCTAAACAGCACACAAATATCATTTTCTCTAACTACAGGATGTTTATCAACCCAAGCATTCTCTTCTACTCTGCAGCATTAAAAACCAAAAACATTGTCCAATGCTTTAAATGTTTGGCTCCATCAAAACTTATATTGAAACTTAATCCCCAATGTAACAATATTGGGAAGTGAGCCTTTAAGAGGTAATTGGGCACTCAGGGCTCATTTCTTATGAATAGATTAATCCATTCATTGATTAATAGATTAATAAGTGACTGAATTAATGGACTGTGATGGGAGTGGGACTAGGACAGGTGGCTGTATAAAAAAAAAGACGAGAGACCTAAGCTCTCACCTTCACCATCCTCACTCTGTGATTCCCTGTACTGCCTTGGGGTTCCACAGAGTCCTCACTGGCAAGAAGGTCCTCACCAGATGCAGCTTCTAGATGTTGGATTTCCCAGCATCCAGAACTTTAAGGATATTCAGTTTTTTAATAGATTACCCATTCTCAGGTATTCAGTTATAGTAACAGAAATGGGCTTACACACATTTCCCTTAAATTAGTCTATCACAATTTATTTTAATAAAGATTTCATTAATAAATTTTCCTTTCAAAAAAGAAGCTGATGATATTAGTTTATAAAATGATACATTTTTTACACTCTTCTCTCCTGGTTTTGGTAGTTTCTTCATACCACCACCCACCACCGCCACCTTGATTGTCTTAGTGGTGACTAGAGGTCTTAGAGGTACTTTCTGTTGTCCTGGCATAATTTATTCCTTTGTGGTCAACTTTGAGGCCAGTGGTTTAAGTTTAGGCTGGTCAAAATCTGAGCTTGTTTTAGCATCATTCACCTTAGCTACTGCAGGTAACAATTACAAAGGGATTTTATGTTTAACATGTTTCTTACTATTTTACTTTTTCTTAAAAATCCCATAAGCCAACTACATGAAAGCCAGGTCTACCAGCACTTCTAAGTTCAATCAATAATTTTTACTTTTAGTAACAGATTACAGTACAGCTACAGTTTTATACCATGGGTGACTAGGTATTCATCCAGGAACCAACTATTATCTTCTGACTTTTTATCATTTCTCTTCCCAAAACACATTTCCTTGATTCAAAGCCAGTCTAGTAAATCATACTTTTGAGACAAACTACTATTACTATGATACATTTCTACTCACAAAACTTCTTACACGAAATGTGTGGTGTTTTCTCATATTAACATCCACTATTGGAACTCACTGGAAACCAACTAGACTCAATTCAATTCTGATGCAAACTATCCAGAGTTCATGTAACAACCCACAGGATAAAGGCTCAGTCTCACAAGACTGCTCCTGCTTCAGATGCCCATTACAAGTCCAGGCCATCCATACTTTTGATCAATTGGCTACACATCATTAGGAGTTTCATGTCACCCTCCTTATGTTTCACAATTTATTAGAACAGCTGATAAAAGGCAGAAAAAGAATTTGCTTACATTGAATGGTTTAAAATCAAGGATATTATAAAGCATACAGAAGAATACCCAGATGAAGAGGCGGATAGGAAGAGGTCTGGAAAGGTCCTGAAGGCAGGAGCTTCTGTCCCAGAGAGTTAGGGCCATTCTCTCAGCCCATGGATGCTTTCACCAATGTGAAAGCTCTCTGAATCCCTTCATTTAGGGTTTTTATGTAGGCACTATATAATTAGGCATGATTGGTTAAATTATTGGCTTTAGGTGATAAATGCAACTCCCAGAATTTCTCTTCTCCCTGAAGTCCCCCATGAATGGAGCTGAAATTTCCAAACCTCTAATCACATGATTGCTTTTTCTGTCAACCAGCCCCATCCTGAAGTCATCTAGGAACTTCCAGACACCAACTCAGGTGTGATTAAAAGGGACTTGTTATGAATATAAAATTACACTCCTATCAATCTTAACACTCCTGAGGTTACAAAGATTTTAGAAACTCTGTGCCAAGAACCAGAGAGGAAGATCAAATATATATTTCTTGTTATGTCACCATATCACATTGATTTTTTAAATCAAATTATAGTTAAAGCATAGATTAATTGTATAGATAAACTAATTATACACATGCATGTCAATATCTTGGCTATGATAATTGTTAAATATAATGGACACCAGATAAAATTTAGGGGCAGGGAAGATTGAACAAGAAAGTAGTAAGAGTGGAAATTGTGTCCTTTTGTAGATAATCAAGGTTTAGAGTAATGAGTTTACGATGGATAGATAGGAAAATGGAGATTTAAACAAATTTTAGAATTAGAAAGACCAAAAAAAGCTGAAAAAAGTATATAACTAAGAAAATATTGGGAGAGGATTGAAAAATAAATGTAGATATAAAGTTAATTAAATGAATTATCAAACTTCAAATAGTAGAGTTAATAAACAATTTATAAATTTGGCTTGTGGGTTAGAGGTGGGGTTGGCGGTGGTAGAATTGGATACTATCACATTTTATTATTTTACTTTTCTGAAACACTTAATATTTTTAAAACTGCATGCTTGTGTTAACTTTGTAATAATTTTAAAATTAAAAATGAAGTGACTCCTAACCTAAGAACATCATAGAGGTGCATGAGAGAGGGAGAAAGGATAGATTTCCATTCCGCCTTGCTTCTATTGTTTTGACTTTTTATAAAAGGGGAAATTATCAAGAAATATTTTCAGAATTTAAATAATGACAATGTCAATTTAAGGATTGACTTTTCCTAAGTTACTTAGGAAATTACTTAGTTTCAACCATCACTTCGAATATCAAAATATTTCAGTGTCTTCAACTACTACAATATCTGACATTTTATTTTTAAAATAAATATCTGCTTAATAACTTTAAAAAACATAGTGTTTCTGCCACCACTGCACAAGAGAAAAACAATAACATTGCAGGTGTGAAAGAAGCAGAAAAAGTTCTATGAGCCATTTAAATCTTACTGTGTGTAATTTTCTAGCATGTAGTCAGTACAAATTCCAACAGTGCTGCTCTGTTCTCGGCCTCTTCAATGCTTTTTCTTTCTGTAAGAATTCTACAGTATAAAATGTGCCCTATTGGGAAACTGTACATAAAGTTTGATCAAGAGTCATTATTGGGACAACTGCCTTCCATTTCATTATTGTGTCAGTGTCACCAAGGTAAATAGCTCTTACCTTTAAACAGAATTGGTTTTCTGTCCCAATTTCAGTACAGTAGATCCACCTAATGTTTGAAACAATAATACTTTCAGCCTAAAATGATTGATGTAAAAACAGAAGGAAGTCAAAGCTTATGAATTAAATTATGATGACTCTTTGATATCAAATATATTCTATAAAATAACACTTAATTTAAGAATAATTTTAATTATTTTTACATGAAAATATTTGAAATAGTGACTACAACCTTTATGACATACACAAGACCTAGTATTATAAAATCATGAGACCATATTAAAGCTTAAACTATGTCATCATCATGCACTGTTATCTCATACTCTTCACTTCTCTCACTATGCCTAGCAGTTTAATTTTCTGAGAAAAAAAAAATCAATCCGATATAAATACATGAGTTTAGAAAATAATTATATAAAAGAGTAAGAAATTGTTTTGTCAGCTCACAATTCTCAATTCCACTCCACCTCTCTAGAGGAAATCATGTTTAAAATTTCCAAGTTTAATTCTTCTCATAATTACTATGATAAGGATAAATAATTCATTTATGTCTCTATTTATGGATGCATCAACTGTAGAAACAAGTACTGATAGCCCAGACTGAAAAAGCACAGAATATGGGGCACATACATTGCCTTCTACCTTTTTTTCCCACCTAACCAACTCCCAGTTTTTTATTCTATATTTTAGTTATTTTAAATTCATTTTTATTGTTTTAAATTATTTTCCTCTTCTTTTCTCCCATGTCTAAATTATATAATTATATTTTTATATTCTCATAATTTATAATACTTGCATTAACTTTCATTATTAGAGTGCAAATACAGCTATCCATTTAATTGTATAACATATGCTGTGGTTTCCCCGCCCTATGTGTATCCTTTCTGCCCATCCGGAAGCTCTTTATAGCTGCAGTGGAATTTTTATGTGTATGCTGAAGGCTTCCTTCCTCAAGAGCCTGCATCTCTGCTTCTCTGCCTGGGAGTGTTCTCCAGATCCATAGAGGGTCCTTCAGACCACAAAGAAGAGAGTATGGAAGTGCTGAGTTTTCACATCTCCATGGTCAATGCTTAATCAGTAAAAGGTAGACATTAGTGGATATATTACCCAAAAAATGTATCCTCAAGGAAACAAGTCTGAAATGTGCTCTGCACTATTCCTTCAAGGGTCTCCAGTGGAATTAAATTTATAGGTGGTCACAAAAGTGACCTTTGCGTTAATTCACCCATAATTATATTTTCTCCTTTCACTGCCTCACTTTTCCTACTTCCTTATTTGCTCTTCCTTGGATCAGGTCCCACATAAACAATATCCCCCCAAGGGGTTGTATCAGGGTCCATTTTTCAAGACACTTAGAAAGAGTGTTTAAATATTCTGTCTCTAAATTAATCCTAAATATTGAACACACACACACATACACACACATGGTACAGGACCAAATATTACTTATTGTTTATTATTAGAATTATAGGTTAGAAAATAAAATCTTTTGATTAAAATAAATTTGTTTGGAGAATAATCTTTTAAAATTTAAGTGTCATTTTAACGCCTTTAAAATACCTCTCTTACTTCCCTCAATTTCTAGAGTCCATGAATTTATTCATTGCCACTATGTCCTCTTTGTAAACAACATACTTAGACATCTTGCTTGTGTGTGACACAAACAATCCAATAATCCCTTTTATCATATTTTCAAGATAAAGAAAAAGAGAATCAGAACTCGAAATACTTTCCTGTGGTCATGGAAAAAGTAACTGATTAAATCAGGAAGCAGGATATACCAAAGTCATTGACTCCTTGCCCAGGGCTTTCTAATATATATTTTTTCATTTAACTTAATTTGAGGAATGAAGTTACAATAATTTAGTTTTGTGGAAGAGTTATATGTGATCAGTTATAAAGTTCTTTAAATTCACTATTTCAGTTAAATTTGGGAATAACTTTTCAGGCCAATTCTAAATGAGTTTTATTTTGACTGTATTAGAGACATCTTCCTGACTTAAAGAGAAAGGAGAATAGAAATTAAGATGCAAAATATGACAGACAACTATGAATATAGTCCTGCTCTTACAATATACAGAGTAGCATAGACATACATTTTGTCATACCATTTGCTACAAAAGTAGACAAAAACATCAGGTGATGTGTAAGGACATTTAGATCTTCTGACCCACTGTGCTATGTGTTGGTGCAAGGTGCTTTAATCTGGACAACTTTACCAGCGGAAAAGGTACTTGGAGCCTTATCTTAACCCTTTCCTTTGTTTCTCCAAGTAAAGGTCAAGTGGCTTAGCTTTTGTGCTTACATGTTTCACAATATTTTTTATACAACTGTAAAATGTACTTACAGAAAGATTATTGATTTTGTAAAAGAGGAAGGTAATATACTTGCTGCCTTGTGTTCTCTGGTAAAGGCATTAAAAACCCTTTAATTTTATTTCCTTAACATTTTATGTAAATTATAAGGCAGCAGTAAATACCATTACCTCGTGAACATTACCAGGGCTGGGAGCCCAGTGCACCAACATAGGTTGCCTCCGTTTTACATAAGGACAACTATAGTCATACCATGTGGTTTCCTCCTTTGAATAATAGTTTTTAGGATTAAAAATATTTTAATATATAATATATTTAAAAAATAAATAATGTGTGCTTGTTTCATGCCCTTAAGAGATAAAGTATTCAAGGGCAGACTTAGGTTAGCTTTTATTTATATGACCCTTGACATAGTTGCCTTAAACATAGTTGGTATTTAGTATTTGTTGACTGGAAAGGAACTTGCCAATTCAGATGATAAACAGTGAAACATTAGAGAGAAATTAAGCCTCTACGTAATATTCCATGATATATATGTATTACATTTTATTTATTCAATCACCAATCAATGGACACATAGGCTGATTCCATGACTCTGCTACTGTGAATAGTGCTGTGTAAATATGTGAGTGCAGGTGTTTTTTGACACAATGATTTATTTTCCTTTAGGTAGATATCCAGTAGAGGGATTGCTGAATTGAATGGTAGCTCTATTTTTAGCTCTTTGAGAAATCTCCATATTGTTTTCCATAGAGGTTGTGCTAATTTACATGATCACCAACGTGTAAAAACATTCCTTTTTCTCTGTGCCTTACCAACATCTGTTGTTTTTTGACTTAATAATAGCCATTCAGGCCAGTATACGATGGTGTCTCATTGCAGTTTTAATTTGCATTTCTCTGATGATGAGGGATGTGGAGAATTTCCTCATGTTTGTTGGTCACTCATATGTCTTTTTTGTAAACTGTCTGTTTCTGTCCTTCGCCCACTTTTTAATAAAGTTATTTGTTTTTCTCTTGTTCAGTTATTTGGAATTCTTGTAGATTCTGGGTATTAACCCTTTGTTGAATGCATGGTTCGAAAATATTTTCTCCCATTCTGTAGATTGTCTGTTTACCCTGTTGATTATTTCTTTTGCCGTACAGAAGATTTTTAGTTTAATTAAATCCCATTTGTATATTTTTGTTATTATTGCATTTGCTTCTGAGGAGATAGTCATAATTTTTTTTGTCTATGTAAATGTCCACAGGAGTTTTTCCTAGGTATTCTTCTAGGATTTGTATAATTTCAGATCTTACATTTAAGCCTATAATCGATCTTGAGTTAATTTTATATATGTGAGTGTGATGATTAATACTGAGTGTCAACTTGATTGGATTGAAGGATGCAAAGTATTCTTCCTGGGTGTGTCTGTGATGGTGTCGCCAAAGGAGATTAACATGTGAATGAGTGGGCTGGGGAAGGCTGACCCACCCTTAATCTGGTGGGCACAATCTAATCAGCTGCAAGCAAACATAAAGCAGGCAGAAAAACGTGAAAAGGCAAGACTGGCCCAGCCTCCCAGCCTACATTTTTCTACCGTGCTGGATGCTTCCTGCCCTGGAACATTGGACTCTTTAGACTGGCTTTCCTTGTTCCTCAGCCTGCAGACAGCCTATTGTGAGACTTTGTGATTGCGTGAGTTAAAACTCCCCTGAATGTGTATATCTATATGATGTATATATATAATGTGTGTGTGTGTGTGTGTATATATATATGTATAATCTGTCCCTCTGGAGAACCCTGACTAATACAGTGAGAGATAAGGGTCCAATTTCATTATTTTGCATATGGCTATCCGGTTCTCCCAGCATCATTTATTAAATATGATGTCCATTCCCCATTGTTTATTTTTATCAACTTTGTCAAAAATTAGTTGGTTGTATGTAGGTGGCTTTGCTTCTGGATTCTCTAATCTGTTCCATTTATCTATGTGTCTGCTGTTATACCAGTACCATGCTGCTTTGGTTAGTATAGACTCGTACTATAATTCGAAGTCAGAGAATGTGATGCCTTCAGGTTTGTTTGTTTTCCTTTGAATGGCTAGTTGGGCTCTTTTTTGGTTCTGTATGAATTTTAGAATTTTTTTTAAGTCTGTTTAAAATGATTTTAATAATTTGATAGAAATTGCACTGAAACTGTGGAATGCTGTGGGCAGCATGGTTATTTTAAAGACATTGATTCTTCTAATCCATGAGCATGAGATGCATTTTCATTTGTTTGTGGCATCCATAATTTCTTTCATCATTGTTTTTTACTTCTCCTTATAGAGTTATTTCACCTCCTTGTTTAAATGTATGTCTAGGTATTTTCTTATAGCTATTTCAAATGGGATTGAGTTTTTTATGTATTCCTCAGCCTTATTTTATTGGTGTATAGAACTGCTACTGGCCTAAGAGGGCTTGCTAGAAGCAGCTAGTGTGCACCACTCTCACTGAAAGAGGAAGAAATGGTGAGTAAATAATACCTCTTCAAATGGAACATTCAAGTAGCCACATTGGGATTCATCAAAAAAACAATTTGACACATGGAGAATGGAGAGGAGCAAAACAGGACAATTGCCCACCTGGTAGTGGGATGGAGATGGAGAGGCCCCAATACCATAAGGAAATGGTGAGTCCCTGGGTACCCACATTTCTGCCACAGACCTTTGCCATCCTGGTTTCAGGAGATCTCCTGGAGCATTTAGACCGACAAGGAGGGCTATGTAGGGCACTACATAGTACACACATAGTGTATTTTCAGATGTACACAGAGTCCCAGGAGCCTTGAATCCCCAGGCACCCCAGCATTAACAGTTGAATCTTGGCCGGGTGCGGTGGCTCACGCTTGTAATCCCAGCACTTTGGGAGGCCAAGGCGGGTGGATCACGAGGTCAGGAGATCGAGACCATCCTGGCTAACACGGTGAAACCCCCATCTCTACTAAAAATACAAAAAAATTAGCTGGGCGTGGTGGCGGGCACCAATAGTCCCAGCTACTCAGGAGGCTGAGGCGGGAGAATGGCGTGAACCGGGGAGGCAGAGCTTGCAGTGAGCCGAGATTGCGCCACTGCACTCCAGCCTGGGCGACAGAGCCAGACTCTCTCTCAAAAAACAAATAAACAAACAAACAAAAACAAAACAAACAAAAAAACAACAGAAAAACAGTTGAATCTCTGGCAATGGGGGAGGTCAGATTCCTTCACATGCCCCCAGGAAAGGGGCTGAATCCATGCATCTGAGTAGCAATGGACTGCAGGCCTCGACTCCACTGCACCTTGTAGGATAAAGCCCACTGTCATGGGGCCCTAGCATGGCCACACCAGCTGCACTTGGGCTCTAGTGCTTTTAGCAGCTTTGCCATTCTCTGGGATGGAGCTCCCAGAGGGAGAGGCAGGCCACCATTTTTGCTGCCTCTTAGCCCTCACTGCTGTTGCCCTCAGGCTCTGAAATGTGAGTGGTGACTAGCTTCTGGTGCAGATCCCTAGCACAGTGCAGTTGCCCCATGGAAAACTGGTCAGACTGTTTTCCATACACATCCTCATTCCCACTTCTCACTGGGTGGACCCTTTTGGCCTAAGACTCCAGGACAACCACCCTGCCCCCAGTTGAACACTTCAGTCAGAAGCAGCTCTGCATTTCTCTGAGGAGGAAATCCCAGAGACAACACACAGCCCCTCTTCCATTGCAGTTGCAGCGGTATTGCACTAACTACACTTGAGCTGGGGAAGGGAAAAAGGGTCTGGATGCTACACTGGCACCTCCATCTCGTTGCAGCCAACATGCGAAGAGAACCCCAGTCTCTCCTCCCTGTGAGCTCCCACCCGTACTCTTTACCAGGAAGGGCCCCTGGCTTGGGACTGCAGAACAGTTGCCCCACCCCTAGTGAGCATACTCACTGTTACTGGCTCTGTGTTTCCCTGGAGAGGGGTTCCCAGAAGCAACCAACAGCCCCTCTGCCACAACAACAGCAGTGGTTTTGCCCCTGCTGCCTTCAGTCTGGAGAAGAAACAGAAGAGACAAAGAGCCTGAGGGCTTCACTTGTCCTACTAGTACACCACAGCCCCCATATGGAGAGGAGCCCAGTGTTTCCTCCTCCCTTTGAGCCCTCAAGCCCTAGTTCTTCACCAAGTGGAGCCCTTAGCTTGGGCTAGCTGTGTAGTGCCTCACATTTTGGTTGAACATGCCCAGCAGCAATGGCTCCACATTTTTCTAAGGTGAAGCACCCAGAGATAACCAAAAGCCCCTCTGTCACTGCCACTGCACAGTACTGCCCTTTCTGCCCTCAGACTTAGGAAGTAACAAACACTCGGAGGGCTTTAACCACACCTCCAGCAAGCTGTAGTTTCCTTAAGGAGAAGAGGCCACTTTGTCTCCCCTATGACATCCCTGTCCCACCTGTTTATCACCAGGCGAGACCCCCCTTGGCTTAATCCCACAGCACAGCCACTCCACCCTGGTCGATTGTACTGATTAATAGTGGTTCTGCATCTCTCTGGGGTGGAACCCCAAGAAACAAGTAAAAGGTCATCTACCACAATCACTGCCAAGGTCCCTTCCCCTGTTGTCTTCAAGCTGGGGTGAGAACATAAAGCCTGAGCTCACCCTAGAGCTGCAGTGTGCAGCCCAGGAGTGTCAAGCTGATATATGCAGCCAGCACTCCAGTGGGAGAGGAGTCCACATTTTCAGAGCAGTGAGAGGGTAGCGCAGCTGCAATTGGGAGGAAATACACTGGAGCCACATGGCTGAGCAAGAGCCTACCTACTGGTCAATATGCTTAAGCGCCATCTACTGGATCACAGACGAAATGCAAACACCAAAAATACTTGACTGATACACATCCCTGTGAAACCAAAGACAAGAATTCAGCTACAAACAAATACCCTGCACAAAGTTCTGGTCCTCTGAAAACATTCAGAAAAGAAGTTTACTGACTGCACTCAAATTATGCCACAAGTAATAGAACAACAGATGAGAAAGAACTAGTGCAAGAACTCTGGCAACTCAAAAAGCCAGAGTGTCTTCTTTTTCCCATATGACCATACTATTCCCCAGCAAGAGTGATTAAACAGGCTAAAATGATGGAAATTACAGAAATAGAACTCATAATACAGATAGGAACAAAGATCACTGAGATTCAGGAGCAATTGGAAACCCAATCCAAGGAATCTAAGGATTACAGTAAAATGACATTGAAGCTGATAGAGAAAATGGACATTATAAAAAAGAACCAAACAGATGTGAGCAGAATAACACACTGCAAGAATTGCATAATGCAACCACAAGTAATAACAGCAGAATAGACTACACTAAGGAGAAATCTCAGGTCTTGAAGACTGGTCTCAGAACTAAATGAGTCAGACACAAAACAAAAAGGAAGGAAAAAAACTTCTGAGAAATATGGGACTATGTAAAGAGACCACACCTATGATTCATTGGCATCGCTGAAAAAGATGGGAAGAAAGCAAGCAACTTGGAAAATATATTTCAGGATGTTGTCTATTAGTACCTTGCTAGAGAGGCCAGCATTCAAGTTCTGGAAATGCAGAGAACCCTTGCAAGACACTGCACAAGAAGGCTATGTCTAAGACACATAATAATCAGTTTCTCAGAGGTTGAAGTGAAACAAACAAACAAAAACCTTTAAAGGCAGCTAGAGAGAAGGGGCAGGTCACCTACAAAGGGAACGTCATCGGGCTAACAGTAGACATTTTAGCAGAAACAAGCCGGAAGGGAATGGGGGCCTATTATCAGCATTCTCAACTCTTAGAAAATAATTCCAACTAAGAATTTTATATTCAGGTGAGTTAAGACTAATGAGTGAAGGAGAAATAAGATCCTTTTCAGACAAACTGAGGGAGTTTATTAACATTAGATCTGCCTTATAAGAGGTACTGAAATGAGCATTAACTAGACAAGGCCAAGACCCTTACCAGCCAATCCAAAAACACAATTATGTACATAGACCGTTGACAATATAAAGCAGCCACACAAAAAAGTCTGCATATTAACCAGCTAATAACATGATAACAGGATCAAATTTGCACACATCACTACTAACCTTGAATATAAACAGGCTACATGCCCCAATTAAAAGACACAGAGTGGCAAGCTGGATAAAGCAGCAAGACCCAATGGTATCCTGTCTTCAAGAGATGTATCCCACATGCAGTGATGCCCATGGGTTCAAAATAAAGGAATACAGACAAATCTACCAAGCAAATGGAAAACAGAAAAAAGCAGGGGTTGATATCCTAATTTTTGACAAAACAAACTTTAAACCAACAAAGATTTTTAAAAAGTCAAAGATGGGTTCACTTCAAAAATAACACCTAACTACCCTAAATGTATAAGCACCCAGCACAGGAGCACCTAGACTGATAAAGCAAATTGTTAGAGAGCTACACAGAGACTTAAATTTCCACGCAATAACAGTGGGAGACTTCAACACCCCACTGACAGTGTTAGATAGAAAATTAACAAAGATATTGAGGACCTGGACTCAACACTTTACCAAATGAAGCTAATAGACAACTACAGGGCTCTCTACCTCCAAACAATAGAATATACATTATTCTCATTTCTATTCAATAAATGGTGCTAGGAAAACAGACTAGCCATATGCAGAAGATTGAAAGCGGACCCCTTACACCACATACAAAAATCAACTCAAGGTGGATTAAATGCTTAAATATAAAACCTAAAACTATAAAAATCTTGGAAGACAGCCTAGGAAATACCATTCTGGACATAGGACCTGGCAAATATTTTATGACAAAAACATCAAAAGCAATTACAACAAAAACAAAAATTGACAAATGGGACCTAATTAAACTGAAGAGCTTCTGCACAGCAAAGGAAACTATCAACAAAGTAAAAAGAACCTAAAGAATGGGAGAAAATGTTTTCAAACTATACATTTGACGAAGGTCTAAAATACAGAATCTATAAGAAACTTAAACAAATTTACAAGCAAAAAACAACCCATTAAAAACTGGGCAAAGGGGCTGGGCGTGGTGGTTCATGCTTGTAATCCCAGCACTTTGGGAGGCCAAGGCAGGTGGATCATGAGGTCAGGAGTGTGATACCAGCCTGGCCAACACAGTGAAACCCTGTATCTACTAAAAATACAAAAATTAGCTGGGTGTGGTGGTGGGTGCCTATAATCCCAGCTACTTGGGAGGCTGAGGCAGGAGAATCGCTTGAACCCAGAAGGAGGAGGTTGCAGTGACCTGAGATCACGCCTCAGCACTCCAGCCTGGGTGACAGAGCTAGACTCTGTCTCAAAAACAAAACAAAACAAAAAAAGTGAGCAAAAGACATGGACAGATATCAAAAGAAGACATACACATGGTCAATAAGAATATGAAAAAATTCTCAATACCACTAATCATTAGAGAAATGAAAATCATAACCACAGTGAGATACCATATCATACCAGTCAGAATGGCTATTATTAAAAAGTCAAAAATAACACATGCTAGTGAGATTGTACAGAAAAGGTAATATTTATGAATCTTTTTTTCTGCTTGTTCTAGTATATCTTAAAGCTTTTAACTATATTTTGTAATTCCTCCAGGAACTTTTTGATTTCCAATTGTTTCTTTTTTAAAAAATTTCTATCTCTTTAGTAAATTTTTCATTCACATCCTGAATTATTTTCTGATGTTTTTGTGTTGATATTCAACTTTCTCTTGAATCTCATTGAGTTTCCTGACAAGTTATTTTTTTGAATTTTTTATCTATCATTTCAGAATTTTCGATTTGGTTAGAACTCATTTCTTGAGAGCCAGTGGGACCTTTTTATTTTGGTGGAGAGGGTCTTAAAAACTCTGTTATTTAATACCACCAGATTTATTACACTGGTTCTTTCTCTTCTTTAGAAAGTGCCATTTCTTATTTTTGAATGTGCCTTTGTTTCGATGGGACTTTCTTTAAAATTATTTTTGCTTCCTTGAGTGTGTGACTGTAATACATGCTCTGTATAGTTATTTGGCTTTGATTCTGGGCACTTTCAGGGGGCCAAGACTCTGTATGAGTTTCTTGGTTATAGATAGCCTTTGTGTGATGGCTCTCTCAAATATCAGTTGTAGTGACAATGTGCTGAGCATATGATGAGATTATTATTTCCTGCAGGACCACGGTTAGGGAGATCTCAGGTAGTTTATCTTGTTCCACAGAACTGTGCACTTCTGTTAGCCTCTTATGTACTGCATTGTGCAGTTAAGCTTTCTGGCCAGTAGAGCATTTATGAGTGAGAGTTGGATGTGGCAGAAGCTGATGGGTATGTGATCTTTGTCAGCTGGGAGGAGTTTTCTGTGGTCTTGGATGGTAGACTGGCCTGTGGAAAGCCTGGTGCCCTGAGTTTGCTCCTAAGCCCCAGTGTTGGGAACAAAACTGGATGGCACTGGCCTGCTAAGCTTACCCTTGGGAACCCCAATGACAAGCATAAGCACCAGCCCTAATGGAAGTGGCAGGGGGAGCTTGTGGTGAAATGAGGTTTCTGTGGGTGGGGTCAGAGGGAAGGGGCTGCACTAGCTTCATGTCTCAGGCAGGCAGGAATGTAATCCGCTTCTCTATCACACCCCTGCTCCAGGGCTCATGATTTCTAACTTAGATAGACACTGTCACTATCTCCAGGCTGCATTGTAGCTGAGGGCCACAGAAAACAACTTTCTCGTGACTCTTCCTCCAAATGGCCTTGGAGGGTAACTTCTTACCTCAGCGCAAAACAGATGGCTTTGCCAGTCACCTGATCTCTGCTGCAGGAATGCTACCACTCTGTGTAGAGAGGGGGAAATGCTGTGCCTTCTATGCAAGTCTGGGCCTGGTGGGCACACTGACAGTTGGGTTGCAGCCACCCTAATATTCTGGAATGGCCATCCACTGGCACACCCACGCCAGCACCTCATGGGAATAGCCACAGTGGCATCCACAGCAGTGGGCGACAGGGAAGGAGAAGTCACCCTTTTCACATCTGTTCTGGGCACTGGTGTCACCTCATCTCTGGGGAAGAACCTTATTCCTCCCCTATAGAGCCCAGCACCTACCTGCATTTCCACTTGAAAGGGCACAGTCACCTTCAACTCACAAGCCTGGAGCTCTCAGGCACAGTACAGTGTGTACTCTGGTTTCCTTTGTCCCTAGGGGTGCTCTGACATGCTTCACTCTCCTTACTCCTAAAAGCAGCCCACCCTGAGGGCTAGATCTCTGGAAATCCCACAGCTCCCCTGTGTACCACCAGCCCTCTGTAGCTGCTGCCATCTGAATGGGGCTCAGTTATGTTGGCAGGGGATCCAGTGATGTAGAGACACAAGGGTTAAGACTTTCTGGACAGAACAGTGGCCCATAATGGGCACACAGCAAATATGGTACCCGCCAGCTCAGCTGGGGTCTGTGGGGAAGGTGACAGACACTGCGTGAGTTGGCTGCCCAGTGCTCTGCCCACAGGCATTTCCCATATTGCCACCCACACCAGTGCTTGGGCTCACAAGGGCTGAGGTGCTCTCTGAAAGTTAAGAAACCAGCAGTCTGATGCAAGGATGAGAGAAGCCAAAAACAGCCCCACCGATCTTTTCCATGGGACTCTAAATTCCTCAGGAGTTGAGCTCTGCCTAACTCCAGCTTTCTTCTTGTTTTGTGCCCCAGCCTCTTTCTTCTTTACATGAATTCTGAACCAATGGGTTTTATCACTCTCCCCTCAGTACTCCACTTGAGCCATGATTATTCACTCGTAATTTTGGCTCTTCTTTCTAAGGAGTACTTGCATTTCATATCTTTAGTCAGCCATCTAAAAAATAAAATCTTCATAGTTTGTTGTAATGAACAACCAGAGTTGGAATCATTGATATACATGATTATATAAGATCCACACAACCCTACTCTGTCTTATGCAATTACAAATTTCATAAAGGATCGAGTTATAAAAGGATTTTTTAAAAAAATTATTAAATTGACTTTGATTCTCAACTTGTATTGTACACTATTTGCTTCTGAATTTTTTTCTCCTCTTTATTACACATAAAGGAACTGCTTTTGCTAGGGATTTTGAATGGGAATTTATTGCTCTAAGTAATGTACACTTATTATTCAATTTTAGAGATATTACTTTTCATAATTTATAGGTTTTATGACAAATTATTCAAGGCAAAACTACTCGTAATTTTGTAATCTTTTATTTGGATTTTATTAAGTTTGCCTTCTTCCTCTTTGACTGTATGTTAGGCATCAATTCCAGAAACAATCCCTAAGCCATTCTGTCACTAATAGTGGAGATTCTTCATATTGCCATTCTTCAACTGTGCACTTAATAAGAAAATTGAAATATTTGGTGACTCTCTCCTCTTTAATTTTAGCTACAATATTTATATATTAACAGTTAAATCTGGGATTCCTCATTTTTCTGTGAATTATCTCAAGGTTTATTTGAACATAGAAATAAGAAGATAGTGAAGTACAGAGAGAATAAATGACTTGCCCAAAGTCGTAGAGTTTGTAACTGGCAAAGACAGGATTGAAATTAAACATGTGTGAGCCTTAAGTCATCTTAATTTTTTATTAAATATTTTAAACATATATACAGTACAGATAAATACAATAGTCATATTCCCACTATGCCTTTTAACAAAATCTAGTATTTTTGGCCATATTTGATTACATTTTCATAAAGAAATGGAATATTATATGTCATTAAAGCCATGTAGGAAGATCTACCATATATCATTCACATCCCTTTCTTTCTCAATACCTGATTTTCTAACTGTTGTGTTTGTGTTTTTGGTACATGATTACAATTAAATTTAACGGATAGATATAAAAGTAAAGATATTTTAATTATATTGTTATTTCTAATAATCAATTTTCTACTTTATCTCACAATAGAATATGATTAGACTGAACGGTTAATCTAGCTGATTTTATTGGAAGTGGTATGTTTTATTTAACTTCTATAGCATTTACAATGTGCTATATACTGCTTTAAGTGCTTAACAGGTATGATGTTAATGATAAACTACATGCTAATCTTCATGACAAAGTTGTGAAAGACTATCATTACACTCATCCTACAAGTGAGAAGAATAAGGTAGAAAAATTTGGGTAACTTGACTACTGTCACTAACGAGTTGTATCTGAGGCTGGGCACAGTGATTCACGCCTGTAATCCCAAGACTTTGGGAGACCAAGGAGGGCAGATCATGAGGTCAAGAGACTGAGACCATCCTGGCCAACATGGCGAAACCCTGTCTGTACTAAAAATACAAAAATTAGCTTGGTGTGGTGGCACGTGCCTGTAGTCCCAGCTACTCAGGAGGCTGAGGCAGGAGAATCGCTTGAACCCCAGAGGTGGAGATTGCAGTGAGCCAAGATATCGTGCCACTGCACTCCAGCCTGTTGACAGAGTGAGACTCCATCTAAAAAAATAAAAAGAAAAAAGTTTCATCTGAGATTAGAATACAGGAATTCTGTTCCTTCTCTCAGGTGCTTAATTATTTTACCCTCCTGTTTTGTGGGTTTTATTTTAGAAGTTTTCAAAACTCCATAAGTGGAAGCAAAGTAAAGAAAACTTTATGATTATGTTTACTTCTATCACTAATCATTTCTATTTCATTGACTGTGTTTCTATTTAATTAAATTAGAAACATTACTCAAAAAATTTTTATTTTAAAACATTTTAAAATTACACTTACCCATTCTGAATGAAATGACAAGACAGAGTACAAAAGAAAAGTAAGTTCCAGAGTTTATGCGTTGCTTTTATAATTTTTTTTTTTTAATTGAGATGGAGTCTCTCTCTCTGTCACCCAGGCTGGGGTGCAGTGGCTCAATCTCAGCTCACTTCAGCCTCCGCCTCCCGGGTTCAAGCGATTCTCCTGCCTCAGCCTCCTGAGTAGCTGGGATTACAGGCGCACGCCACCACGCCCGCCTAATTTTTGTATTTTTTTTAGTAGAGACGGGGTTTCACCATGTTGGTCAGGCTGGACTCGAACTCCTGGCCTCGTGATCCACCCACTTCAGCCTCCCCAAGTGCTGGGATTACAGGCATGAGCCACCACACCCAGCCTTTTATAAGGTTTAATCAGGTTTCCTGCAAATTCTCTATTCATATTTCCACTCTCTGCGAGGACATGTAACATTAGCAAATAAATGATAAGATACAAAAAGGATAAAAGTAGCACGTCATAAACAACAAAAAAAATCAAAAATTAAACCATTGTACTGTTAAACAACTGACTAACAACTTTTATAACCTTTGGCCATATCTTTGGTGTACATTATTTATATGTGTGTGCATATATACACCCCACATGCACTAATATGTGGGAAAGTAATTGCTTCTTTTTTCCTAGTTCTGAGACCTTTCTGTTAATAGTGGCACATACTTTGCAGATATCAATATTATTTTTAAAAATTGAAGCTGAAATTTTATCAGAAGAAACTCTTAATCCGATCTCAGTGGTAAGATACTATGTTGGAATTAGGTGGAGAAGGAATATAAATGCTCGTGAGATGATCTGGCAGCAGAATAAAAACCTCTATGCTGTGCTGCTGATTCTAAATGGGAAATGATATCTCAGAGCATCAGCATCTCAGCTGCCAAGGAAAAATTACTTTATTTAAAAAAATTTATATGTATTTATTAAGATATAGGATTTCAAGTTTTAAGAAACAACATTATTAATAACACAAAGGCAGTCTCCAGCACTGGGCTAGGTCACATTTTTTTCTGTTCTTATGTCAGATTATCCCAGGAAGCCACCTCCAGCATCAGGAGGCAAATAATCTTGTACACACATCTAAAAGAAGACACTGGAGACAAGGAAGGCCCAGAGTGTTTTGGCCACACAGCTAGCATGTAATTGGATGTGGAGGTTGACAATGCTAATGTACTCAATGACAGGTGGTGATGGAGACCCATCTATCCTGACCTGCTGAGTAGATCAAATCAAGGGAACTGCTGGTCCATTTTCTGAGAGTGATTCAGAGCCAAAATTACATTGCTGAAAATTTTCATCCATCTTATAGGAAGATAAATAAATCTGTTTAGTGTATGAAGAACAATAGCTATGTTAAGCATATTACAAGACTGTCTTAATTTGCATATAATTTCAAAACTCATGATTGTTTTGTCAAATAAATACATTCCCTTCCTAAAATATTTGAAATGTACTTATTTATTCACTATAGGCTAATCTTTTTCTTATTCAGATTTTCTTTTTTGTCTTTTTAATAAGACAGTATAAAAACTTATAGTATAAGCCCATTACTAGGCTGCCTGGACTTATGTTGCTTATATTGGACCTATATCCTTATAAAATATATTTGGCTTCTCTGTGCCATAGTATTTTTGTCTATAAAATGGGGCTTATAGACTTTTTGTATTAAATATGATGTTATTTATATCTTATTAATTGCTTGACAGCAATTCAGATGCATAGTGCAAGCTCCACACATAGATACATACATTGTTATTAGCTTTGTAATATTAGGACTAAATATATAAGACTTGATTTTGTCCTATGTAGCTTTGTGTTGCTTGTTTGAAGAAGATGAATAAAGAAATAGGTAAGTGGACTCGTGATCTCCTTCATGCAAATAAGTGGGTCCACTTTCTGGTCTCCTGAGTTACTGGACTTGTCAGGAATGGCTCTCACTGGCTAAGGAACAACGTCAATTCTTCATACACTCTTCTCTGTGAAATTTCTATTTGTCCGATTGGAGTTATTGCCTTACACACCTCTATGTTATTGAAATGCCCTCATGCATCTTTACCACTCATTTTTCATTGATACCTACTCTCAGAACTTTAAATCATCCTAAATTAGATATGATTGATGGTGGTTTCAATGTGTCACAGAGTCACCAGCCCTTTAAAAAAGTGTATAAAGTATCAAATTGAAAGGATAAAATTGAGAGGATCAAGTCAAGTGCTTGTTATAAAAAGTCACAAATTCTGCAAGGGATAGTACTGCTTTCCCTCCATTGCCTGCCCCTGACTGACCTGTTGCTACAATTGTACCAACTAATTAGACAGCTTTGTGTGAGCAGATTAGAAGCTGCTCCTTTGCTACCAGATATGGATCTATAGCTAGCTAGCTCGCAAGCAGAATAAAGGACAAGGTGTAAGAAGAGTTGTTTCTTTTTCCCTTTAACAGAAATGTGCTTTGCTAACTCTCTCAGTGATCTGATGAAATATTTGCAATTATAAATGATCTTTTCCTTTTAATCCTTTTTCATCATCGTCTTGTGTAATAGTTACTTTGAGAGTTGAAGTTTGTTATTTTCTATATTCTGTTTACACTCTCATTCTTCAGCACAACTTGAAAGTTCCTGTGATTCAGAATATGTTTTTCTACCGATGAAAAAGAATTATACAATAAATAAGAAAGAGTATTTTTGGATCACCTTCCATTTGTTCAGCTGTCCCTTGAATACCTTTTATGCTAAGCATATGCCAGTGCAGGATCTCCTTTGGCTAAGCCTGGATGGAAATGATGCCCCATTGATTACTTTTAGTTGCCCAGATCACTCTGCTCTCCTCTTAGAAGACATCAACAATTCTGGTGATCCCAAATCACCTATATGCATAAGTGTGGATTTTCTTAACCAACTAGAAACTAAAAAAAATCAAGAAGAATGTCTTGCACCTAGTTATCATTTCAAATAAATGACCTATGGGGCAAAAAATCACAGATGAAAGGATTTATCAATTAGCTCACCTTATCAAGTGAGCAAATTGAAGCTCAGACCTTTAACAATAAAATTAAGGGCTCTTTTTAACTTACAGAAAGAACTACTCTGAGAAAAAAAAGTACATGAGTAGAATAATGAATAAATACCATTATATTACCCTATCATCTTCCTTCAGGACATTTGACACAGATGATGTCCCTCCTTTTGATTATTGTATCACAATCAGTGCATTTCTCTTCTCCAAATGAGTTTCATTAGAAATAAATTATCCATGGGACTCATGTGTATATAGTGGCTACATCTCTATTTGGTAATTCAGATGACTTCTCAGACTTCTGATGGCAAATTAGGTCAGGTGGGTAATAATTGGGCCTAATTAGCTTTGCCACCAGCTGTTAATTCCTTTACCTGGAGCCAAGTAGAAGACTAGTGATAGTTTGACTGCCTGTGTGAATGGATGGTGTCAACATGAGGATCAATAGTGGTCCTTGTGACTGAAACATATGAAAATATAAAATTTGTTTTTCTTTATGGCTAAAGAAATTAACCAACTTAGTTATTGGGACAATCAACCTGGGCTTGATTCCCTGGTACTAATAAAGGCATATATAGCAGGGTTTTATAAATCACATTCTCCTTTTAAGTCATATTATATAAAAAATAATATGTAGAGTATTTTACCTTCAAGAATAAATTTTGCTGTTTACAATGGTCATTTATAATCTAAAAAGCAATATGGCTTAGCAGTGATATAAATGAGACTATAGTCACTCTGGACACATTCAGTGTAAGGAACTAATCTATAAAAAATAAATTCTAGTTCCATTTGTCAGAAAAAATAACCTTCCCACAAAAGCTATTGCATTACTTTGCAAATATTAGCAACTTTACCCAACTAGATTAAATAAAAATAGAAAAGGGTGGTGAAGGTGGAACTATTAGAAAGGTGATGAGAATCTCAGTTGATTGAAATAAAAGAAAGGCTTACCAATCAACCACATGTTATTCATCTTCAGCCATTTCATTTCTCAATAATTTTTTTTCCACATTTTGGCTCAGTTAAATCAAATATATATATATAAAATATATATTATATATAATATATATATTATATATTATAATATATTATAATATATATATTATATATATATAATATATATAATATATATAATATATATATTATAATATATATAATATATAATATATATATTATATATATAATATATATATTATAACATATATATTATATATATATATAAAGAATCAACTACAAAAAGTGCAAAGTTGTGATATCTGGGATCCCACCTATAAAGACTCCCAGACAAGATTGTCTGTTTTCATGTAGAGAGCTAACCCCGAGAGAGGTCCATCTCGGCTGCCCTGGTTATTTTTAACAGTGGTTAGAAAGGCAACTCCTGAAATAAAATGTAGGCTGGGACAATTATAAATTATTCTAAAACTCATTGTTGGTCTCACCATCTTTTACCTCAATTCAAATCCAAGCTGAATCTAGATGGTTCTTTATTGCGGGATCTGGCCAGCAGCCCGCAATGCAATGGCGCTGTCTCTTTGTTCCCAGGCAGATCGGCAGGTCGAGAAATAATAGACACACACAAGATAGTGAAAGCTGGGTACAGGGGGGTCACTGCTTTCTGGTCCCATGGTGCCAATAATGCACTGGATATACCAGCATTTATTATTAAGTTTAATGAGGGCGGGGGTAGGTTAGTGAGGGATTTAGGGTCATTTGATTATGAGGTGAGATGGTCACATGAAGATGAAGTAATTCTTTAACATAACATCTGTATGTAGAAGTACTGTACAGCATTTCATCTTTTATTCCGTAGCAATAGTTTCAGGGGGGTCTCCCTACAGTTCTTCATTCTGAAACTTTAATAATGTGCTCCAACATTTTTAAGGAAAATATGATGTAAATATTATCACTTTTAATATCCATATTATTAAACCTATTGCGGGAACCCACCCCCAATATTTCAACATAGGTTCTTTCTATTTTCCATAAGTGTTGGACAGCTGAGAAATAAAGAAAGACAGTACAAAGAGAGGAATTTTACAGCTGGGCCGCCAGGGGTGACATCACATATTGGTAGGATGTGATGGCTGCCTGAGTCTCAGACCAGCAAGTTTTTATGAAGGGTTTCAAAAGGGGAGGGGACATAAAAACAGGGAGTAGGTACAAAGATCACATGCTTCAAAGAGCAAAAAGCAGAACCACTAACAAGGGTCTAACAAAGATCACATGCCTCTGAGGGAACAGGACAAAGGACAAAAGCAGAACCACTGACAAGGGTCCAACAAAGGTCACAGGGCAAAGGGCAAAAGCAGAACCACTGATAAGGGTCTATGTTCAGCAGTGCACATATTGTCTTGATAAACATCTTAAACAACAGAGAACAGGGTTGGAGAGCAGATAACTGGTCTGACCATAAATTTAACGAGTTTTTCCAACCCTAGTAAGCCTGAGGGTTCTGCAGGAGACCAGGGCTTATCTCAGTGCTTATCTTAACTACACAAGACAGACATTCCCAGAGCGGCCGTTTATAGACCTCCCCCTAGGAATGCATTCCTTTCCCAGGGTATTAATATTAATATTCCTTGCTAGGAAAAGAATTTAGCGATATCTTTCCTACTTGCACGTCCATTTATAGGCTCTCTGTATTCTTAATTTGTGTGATTTTATTATTAAACATTCTAAAATTATATTACTGATTTTAACTTCCTGTTCAGTTTGCTGCTAAAAATTTAGAGATAAATTAATATTCTACTTCTAGAATATGTATATGATTTCACTGAAGTGATCTCTTTTTATATACCTATTTATCTCTTGTCTATTATTGTTCATCTTGTTTACCTGTTTTCTTTTCACTCCTGCTGTCAGGCATTGTTTTAAACTGCCATAAATCTTTTTTAGATCAACACAGGATATGCATAAACAAATATGATACATTACACAACTTTGGGCAACTTGATTGATCTTTCTAGACTAGCTCTCTTATTTTCACCACAAGGAAGGTCATAAAACATTGATTTCTCTAGCTTATTTGAGACTTAATAACTTATTAGGGATAGATTCCAAGGACAATTATTGGGGCCCACAATAAGCTATTGAGATAAGGGACTATTTTATTAGCAAGCATTTTAGTCAGCACATTGGAAGTAGTCAGAATAAAACGAGTCAGCACATAGTGCCTGCTCAGGATGAAGTTAGATTATGATTAGGGAAAAGAAAACACACAACTAGGAAACTTACAAACAAAAGCAGATTTGGGCAGATAGGTATAAAATGAACGATTAGATGACTATTATATTGCAATCTTTTCATGTTGGAAACTGTGACCAGTCACAAGCTGCACTTAAATTAGTTAGGATCCAACCACCCTCCTGAGTTCTTTGTATCATAAAGATCAGCCCTGGTGCAGGATACAGAACAATTCAAAACTCTTACCTGAGAAACCTCTTAAGTATCAAGATTTCTGCATCAGGGAGTAGGTTAAATGGCTCATCTCTCAAGAGGGATTAGGAACCAAGGCCCTTCTATTTCTTAACAGTTAGCTCTGCTCTCTGACTATTAGATGTCTTTTTCAATCTATTACAGAAGCAATCTGTTTAACAGACACACTTCAGAGACCTCAGACTTAGGAAAGTTGTCATCTTCCTCAGTTCATGTCAATTTCTGTCAGGAAAAGCTGACAGGGTGCTACTCATCATATAACTGGGTACAGCAATTCACTGCTGTGAGCTTGCCTTTTAAATACCCATCTTTGAGCATCCATCACCCAAACTGTTCTGGGGCTCCAGCAAAGAAACTTTTTCCCCTATATTTCAATACACAGCAAATTAGCTTTTGTCAAATAAATATTGAATGGAGGCTGAAGATCCAAGAAAATCCAACACTTTTAGCATGCCTAATAATTCATATATATATATTTTTTTTTTTTGAGACAGAGTTTCGCTCTCTCACTCAGGCTGGAGTGCAATGGTGCGATCTCAGCTTACTGCAACCTCTGCCTCCTGGGTTCGAGCAATTCCCCTGCCTCAGCCTCCTGAGTAGCTGGGATTACAGGCACCCACCACTACACCAGGCTAACTTTTGTATTTTTAGTAGAGATGGGGTTTCACCATGTTGGCCAGGCTGGTCTCGAACTCCTGACCCCAGGTGATGTGCCCGCCTTGGCCTCCCAAAGTGCTGGGATTACAGGTGTGAGCTACTGCACCCAGCTCCCATACAATTATTTCTTTAAGCAAACTTTTTTTTTTTTTTAGTTTTTTACCTTCTATATATTTTGAAACATAGTAAGAGTAAAATGTTATAAAACCGTCAAAAGTTGCCTCAAATTTATGTACACCCAGCAAAAATGTTTAAGTTGAGCTCCTGGCTGATAGGTACCATTGCCTTTCAAAAACTTGCTGCTCTAGTCATTCTATGAGAGGTGCCTTGGAAACGACAAAATAGAAAGTGTGAGCATGCCTTATATTTAAGGTCAGCCTTCACTAGAGCATGTGAACACTTGAGTTGCCTTTTTAACCTTTCTTAACTAGAGAAATAGATTTGAAAAAACCTTGGCTTCCACATAGTGGTGATAAAGCAAGACCGTAGTATTTTATTTCTTCTGTTTTTGTGAACTTTACTTAAAGAGACATTATAATATGTTCTTTTAACTTCTGGATGCACAGTTAGTACCAAGACTTTTAACCCATTCAGTATCCATTCACACTTATACTACTGTGTATTAAAAAATGCACGAAGAACTTAGGTGAGCATCAGTTTTCTCATCTGTTCACATAACTACCCTTTAGTGTAATACAGGAGTTTGGGCTACAAATCTGGGATTCACACTGCTCTGGTTCATATCTGTTTTGTCATATATTGGCTGCATAATCTTAAGGAAATTACATAACCTTTCTGTTACTCAATTTTTATATTGGTAAATATGGTGCTGACGATACTAATTGTAGTATTGACTGGGTTGGTATTGAGATTAAATAGTTAATATACATCTTCCTAAGGTAAAAAAACAGTCTAAATATTAACATGAATTTTTAAATTTGCAGTCAAAATTTCGGGCTAAGTGTAAAATTTGAGAATTTCCTAAAATATGTGTCAAATATTGTTTTAATATAGATGAGGATCAATATTTGGTTATACACTTAATTATCTAAAAAGATAACCTGGTTAATTTACTTGACTCTAGTCATCATTTCACTATGCATATGTATATCAAAACATCATGTTTTATTTCTCAAATTTATATAACTGTAAAAAAGAAAAAGAAAAAAAAAATCTTTATCCTACAAGTTTGCCCCCTTCACTATCTCTGTGTCATCTAGTGAACTCTACATTATTTAAATCCCAAACTTCAGGGAGCATATACATTTCAGTAGTAAAAAAGTAAAAAACAATTATAGATTTTTAAAATATGCTATAATATTTTTTTTCTTGGATTTTAGGTGCACAAACCTCTCCTTAATTACTAAAAGTATGTGATCTTTGCATTTTGGAGAATTAAAAATACCAAATTTTATGAAATTCAAGTGAGCCACACTTCAAAAAATGCCTAGATGCTTAGATTTATTTTAGTCACTGCAGTTCTCATAGGTGAATGAGATATCATACTATTAGATAGTATTGGCTGCCCTCTGCCATAGCTCCTCTTTCTGAAGTATCACTACTTCTGGCCTAAAATCTCTAATATTATGCACATAAACATAAGATATCTAACAAATAGCTAAGAAATTTTTAATCACAATTGACAGCATATTTTATATATTAATATATATTAATATATATTAATATATAATATATTATATATAATGTAATATAATATAAATATAATATTTATATATAATTATATATATATTATATAGAAAGAGCTTCTTAATCTGAGGTTAAGAAGCTCTAGCGCCACTCTTTTTCTCCCATGATCTTTCTCTTCGTATGAAATACGCTTGTCTAGCTCTTGTATAGATTTTGAACAATTGCTTTCATACATTCTGAAAATAGCAATAATGTTTATCCAGTTTATAGGTCATTTGTCTACAATACAAATTATCAGACTTTTGAGAATTAAAGCAAAAGTCAATGACCGAATCACACAGCATGTGGCAACTTCATATTAAAGAAGGCTTCAGGTATCTCCTTTTTTCCCATTAAAATGTTCTAATGTACTACATATATTAAAGTAATTAGATAGATAGTTTTAAGTGGATAAAATAAAGGGAGTTGGGTGACAGACTAGATTGTTCTAAATTTTAAATGAGCTGCTGCATAAAAAACTCTAGGAAAAATACTTATAATAAACAATTGTTTAACAAATATAAGTTGTAAAAACATTGTGAATGAGATTTGGAACGGAAAGTTAAGTCACGCCATTTAAATCCAGAGAAAATTACATAAGATTCAGGAACACACTCACTTTGACTTTATGGAAGAAAAATGAAAACAAATGTGACTAGTATCAATAGCAACCCTTGATCTACAAGAACACTGATTATATTGAGAAGAGAAAAAAAAGAGCATCAGAGGGGCTAGCTACTCTATCTCTGAATGTTTCTGAGGCTTCTTTTGTTGCTTCTTATCAGTTTATTTGCACAGAGATCTCCTGTTCTAGAGCAACCCCATAACATTATACAAGAGAATCACACCAAAGTTAATTCTGAGAGATCAGAACTTCAACATAGCTTGAGAACAATGAAAATATGTGCTAGGCATGTATCTTTCTTCAACAATTTAGAAAGTTTGCTTCCTAGTATTGTCTTTTCTGTCCCAGCAAATCATTTGAAGATTCTTTTTGAGTTATTTACAGGGTACTTATTTGTTAGTTCATAGAGTGTTTGTACATATTTGGTTGTTTTTTTGTTGACTTTTGGTAGAAACAGTTATGTGCTTATTTGCTACTTGTCAAAAATATTTGCAGTTGTCAGACGACAAAAGAAAAAGAAAGTAGAAATAATGTTAAATTCAAAAATGCATTTTTTTAAGGAAACAAAATTCCTAGAGTGCATTTTGAATTCCACTTAAGTTTTTCAAGAAAATGTAGTATTGACAATCTAATTTACTTTAACTCATTAAACTTTCTACAGTAAGGAAGATAGATAGATAAAATTGTTTGCTTTTTCTTTTTTATTTCTAAGCCAAGGACTATACTCAAACAAATATGTGTAGAGGATAGAAGCAAGGAAATATCACTGAAAAGAAAATAGTGCTTTTGAAAGGTGATAATACCTAAGTAGGTTTTAAAATGCCCAAATGAATTGACAAGGAAATAAAAGCCTTTCTTTTCTGATACTTTTGCCATTTACTGAGAATATATGCTTGTGTTTATTGTGATAATTCAAGAACACAAGGAAGTTTTAGCATTTTTAAAATTCAGTTAATCAAATTGCAAACACTTATCATGAGGTAGGCAATAAAGTGTATGTAAATATATTAATAAGCATAGACACAGTTTATTTTTATTTTTATTTTTTATTATACTTTAAGTTCTAGGGTACATGTGCACAACGTTCAGGTTTGTTACATATGTATACATGTGCCATGTTGGTGTGCTGCACCCATTAACTCGTTATTTACATTAGGTATATCTCCTAATGCTTTCCCTCCCCTCTTCCCCCGCCCCACAACAGGCCCCGGTGTGTGATGTTCCCCATCCTGTGTCCAGGTGTTCTCATTGTTCATTTCCCACCTATGAGTGAGAACATGTGGTGTTTGGTTTTTTGTCCTTGCAATAGTTTGCTGAGAATGATGGTTTCCTGCTTCATCCATGTCCCTACAAAGGACATGAACTCATCCTTTTTTATGGCTGCATAGTATTCCATGGTGTATATGTGCCACATTTTCTTAATCCAGTCTATCATTGATGGACATTTGGGTTGGTTCCAAGTCTTTGCTATTGTGAATAATGCTGCAATAAACATATGTGTGCATGTGCCTTTATAGCTGCATGATTTATAATCCTTTGGGTATATACCCAGTAATGGGATGGCTGGGTCAAATGGTATTTCTACCTCTAGATCCTTGAGGAATCACCACACTGTCTTCCACAATGGTTGGACTAGTTTACAGTCCCACCAACGGTATAAAAGTGTTCCTATTTCTCCACATCCTCTCCAGCACCTGTTGTTTCTTGACTTTTTAATGATCACCATTCTAACTGGTGTGAGATGGTATCTCATTGTGGTTTTGATTTGCATTTCTCTGATGGCTAGTGATGATGAGCATTTTTTCATGTGTCTGTTGGCTGCATAAATGTCTTCTTTTGAAAAGTGTCTGTTCATATCCTTTGCCCACTTATTGACAGTGTTGTTTTTTCTTGTAAATTTGTTTGAGTTCTTTGTAGATTCTGGATATTAGCCCTTTGTCAGATGGGTAGATTGCAAAAATTTTCTTCCATTCTGTAGGTTGCCTGTTCACTCTGATGGTAGTTTATTTTGCTGTGCAGAAGCTCCTTAGTTTAATTAGATGCCATTTGTCAGTTTTGACTTTTGTTGCCATTGCTTTTGGTGTTTTAGACATGAAGTCCTTGCCCATGCCTATTAGATGCAGATTTTAACCTCTTTACCTCCTGTGTGGCTTGGGGTAAGTTAACTCTCTGATAATCTTATTCCTCACATGGAAAATGATAACATCACAGACCTGACTCTGTTGCTAAATGTCTAATTAGATACCCTATGAAGCCTGACATATATTGGAAACAGCAGAAGCTGGTCAATTAATGACAGTCACAAACGTATATACATACTTCACATTCAATAAGCTGGAGTATAAGAAATGATTAAACAAAAATGTATTGATAATAATCCAAATGCCGTTAAATCTAAAGAAAAAATCTTTACCGGTAACACTTCTCTAACTATATTTACAAAGACTAAACTCATCCTTGATTGTTTTACTTACATGAGCTAACACATTTCATATCTCTCATTTTCTAGCTAGTTTGAAATAAGTTTCTATCATCTCACGTGCCAAGTTTAAAACACACACACACACACAAACAACAGCAACACACACATGCAAAATGTGAATAAAACTTTATTATGAGTTTTTTGTTTTGTTTTGTTTTTTGTTTTTTGAGACAAGGTCTTGCTCTGTTGCCTAGGCTGGAATGCAGTGGCATGATCATGGCTCACTGAAACTTCTGCCTCCTGGGTTCAAGTGATTCTCCTGCCTCAATCTCCCAAGTAACTGGGATTACAGGCGTGTACCACCATGCCCACTAATTTTTGTATTTTTAGTAGAGGCGGAGTTTCATCATGTTGGCCAAGCTGGTCTCAAACTCCTGACCTCCAGTGATCTGCCTGCCTTGACCTATCAAAGTGCTGGGATTAAAGTTGTGAACCACCACACCCAGCCTATTATGAGGTTTTAATTACACCACTCTATCAGAGAGTAAAAAACAGAATTGGAAAAACACTAATACTAGGTCAAATCCTGATTACCTTAATGCTTCTCTTTTACATTATTTATTGTATCTATGCTTGTATATTTTCTGTTGGAGATAATTTGATGTCCCACAAAGCAGCATCTTCTATTCATAAATAGCTCTGTTAATTTTATTTTCCTTCCTCATTTCTCTCCTAGTCGACTTCACAAACATTTTATTTGGTAAATATTTATCAGACACGTCCAGCAAGTAAGGTACTATGGTAGGCTCCAAAATATGTTTTGAACATCACTAATTCAGTCTCTACCTCACCAAATCAATAATCTACTGAAGCAAACACACAATTGCATTCTTATTAAATATACCCTGAGTACTAAAGGACAAGTACTTATACTTTTCTACTGAAAGTTCATTGAATATTTGAATATATTCATCAGTGTCCCTTGCAAATTTATGGATTGAAGTACTAAATACAGTAAATCTTTTTGTTTACCTAATTTACTTAAGATTGAGATTCATAAGTTTTAGAATTCAGAATAGGGAACAGATTAATTTAAATACGCCATTAAAATATATCAATTAACATTATTTACAGTATCAAAGCCATTGGTGTAGAAGGCATTTTGAAATTGAGATTTTCCTATTTAAAACTCCTAAAAATCCTTGTATCTCAGAATTTATACCATTAAAGCCACAGCAGGTGTGGTTGTTGTGAACCATAACTTCTTAACATTAGTATAATGATATTTACAACTGATGGTGTTTATAAAGCATCATGTAGTCATAAGTCATGTAGAGTGTGATTCCACAGATAATTTTTATACAAATCTCCATTGAGTCACATACAATTTGTTCAAGGTACAGCAACGCTGTTATAAAACATTCATGTTCTTCAGGATGCACATAGAGCCTACAAAATGCAAAATATTCATTTTTCAAAGACAAATTATTCTTCCTAAATTATCCAATGACTCTTTTTTCCCCCTTACTTCGTACCAAGAAAATTATAGCTAAGAACTTTTTACCATAAGGATAAGGGGAGGGACATAATTTCAATTTACTGGTTTTGTTTTTTGTGACCAAATAAAGTTACATTGATTTATAACTTATGTAGCTATTTTAATTTTTGTCTTTAGTGGCCAAATATACTAAAAAAGAAGTTTACTTGATTCCTACCTCATCTACTGCCCCTTAAAATAAATAACCTTAAAAAACACAGCTTGAACAAACATTTCACAATTTATTTCCATTATTCTTTTTTTTTTAACAGTAGAGCGTTAAGTTACTCCTTTTATTTTATTTTATTTTTTTTCAGAGTCCACAGAGCTATTTTATTATTGTTACTATTATTATTATTATTATTATTATTATTATTATTATTATTATTTAATTATACTTTAAGTTTTAGGGTACATGTGCACATTGTGCAGGTTAGTTACATATGTATACATGTGCCATGCTGGTGCGCTGCACCCACTAACTCGTCATCTAGCATTAGGTATATCTCCCAATGTTATCCCCCCCACCCCCCCCACCACAGTGACATGGATGAAATTGGAAACCATCATTCTCAGTAAACTATCACAAGAACAAAAAACCAAACACCGCATATTCTCACTCATAGGTGGGAATTGAACAATAAGATCACATGGACACAGGAAGGGGAATATTTCCATTATTCTTAAAGTGTTATTTCGAATTTTAAGTCACTTTGACTTTAGTTACTACCCTGTTATCTTTCTGTCTATTCAAATCCTTCTAACACTTTAGGTCCACTGTTATTTAGCATGAATACTTTTCAAATTAGGTCATTACACAGTTTTGTTACCATCTTCCAAATTTCTAAAATTACTTCTAAATATACAATTAGTTTAACAATGAGTCAATGGCACTAGCTACTTTTTTATTTTTTTGAAATGTGGTTTAATCGTATAATGTAACCTAACTATATCATCATTTACACCTCATTTTCCCTGCTAGATATAGTACCTAAGAATAAAGACAAGGCTTTCCTTTTTATGTTTCTCACACTTACCAGACTAGTGCCAGATGTGTAGCTAGACTTCAAAATTATTAAGACTTTACGTCTATTAAAAATAAATTACTATAGGCAAGGTATCAGGATCACAATATAAACTACTTGGACTTAGTTTTCTCTTTCATATAATGTAGATTTTTAAATATATTTTGTTTAAAGTATCTTTAGCCAGTGGTATTGTATTGTTTTATGCATTTTTAATAACTCAGGTAGTTCTTAGGCAAAAGGAAGAGAAAAAGCTCCTTCCAGAGCTTGCACAGTTACACAATTAGTCTCAACAAAGTGTGCTTTTAGAAGTGCAATGAAGTTTTAATCAACTCAATAGTTGAGTGCCATTACAATAGATATAAATTGTAAAACACAGAAACAATTAAAACTTAACATTATCTACACTTAAATAGAATTTGTTGATAGAAGGTAAACAAGGTTCTAACCAATTGTAAAATGCCATTTTCCTTATTATTTGTCAATAATGGTAATAGTGTAGTTTAGATAATTTACATTGTTTTTAAAGCTGTTTTATTTAAAAAGTCTTTATTTCAATGCTTACAGACATACCCACACTAGAAAATATGGGACATAATGTTATACTTCTCCACCCATACTCATCACATTATTGTTCCATACCAGCTAAGAGAAAAAAAATTCAAAAATATCACCAGTCATCTTTATTCCCTAGCAATGTGTTCAATGCTTTGATTTTGCCAATAGCATTAAGTAGCTTAGTAGATAAAATAGCTTAGTCATCGTTTTGTAACTTATGTGCCTGTTTAATTTTTTTTGTACACTATCTCCACATGTCACCATATGGGCTTGCAGACAATACAAATCCATCAAAGAAAACCTCTAGATATGAAATAGGGCTATGAATCCAGGCAAGCTCTGTCCACTTGTGTACTTGAGTCTGATTACAAATATGAGTAGTAGAGCCTGTGTGGAAACAGCAGGGCAATGTTTTACAAAATGGCATTCTCTGAACCTTCTTAATTTAACAAAGAGGCAATCTGTCATCTTCTCTTGAGAACATATTTATACAAGGGGATTTAACTTACATAACTGGCAGGCAATAATGGTAATTGCCTCCCCTTACTCAGATGGGTTGTTTTTTAAATAGCTATATACTGTTTTAAGCTTCAGTGTGTAGTCAATACAGTACTCAGGTGGCATACTCTTAATATAAATAATATGTCAAGTATATGGATATAAAGACATAAATATAGGCTCAGTCTGAACTGCCTACACACAGAATACTTCAAGGTAAGTTTTTATGTACATATTTTCTTGTGCAGATTTAAGGTTACAATGCACAGCTGAGTGAACCAATGCAGAAAGCATTCTATATTCAATTCAATAGGGCTCCATTAAAGGTTAGCATCATCTGTGCATTGGATCAATTACATAGCTATAGCCAGTTTCTCTTCGGTTTGTAATAAGGAGTTCTTTTGTAGTTCCTCAGGGTTTACTCCAGGAAATTCAGATGACTCTCAAAAGATAATCACAAAGAGATAGACACAATTAGACATGAAAATACATCTTACATTGGAGAGTACATTGGACACAACATGCTGCTCAACCCTAAGAACTAGAATGTGCATTTTCTAAAAAACAAGAACAAAGACATTCATTCATAAAACCACAGCACAATTATCAAAGTAAAAAATTAGTATTTATCAAATGTTATCTAGATTCCATAACAAGATCTTTTCAATTGTCTCAATAACGTCCTTTACAGGTTTATTCTTTCTTTGATTCAGGATCCAATGGAGAATCACTCATTGCATTTAGTTGCTGTATCTCCTTAGTACTTTTAATTTGCAAGCTTTTCGACCTTCTTTTCTTTTAAATTGTACTTTACCTGGATATTTTGAAAAATAAGATGTTATCCATTTTATGTTTCTTGAATGCTTTCTCAAGATGTGATTCAAGTTACGCACTTTAGGGAGGAATACTACAAATGTACTATTACATTATTATCAGACTTTGATGTTAACTCTGATCACTTGGTAAGGTAGTGTCCTTTAGGTCTCTTCACTATACATCTATCATATTTCCTTTCACAACTATGACATATTTTGGGGCAAACTTCTTTAAGCTTATGTGGATATCTTTTTTAAAATAAATTTGTTATTAAGTATCAATGAATAATTTCCTAACTCTTAAAAATATAGATTAAATATATATTTAATCTATATTTTTAAGTTGTCATTTGAATGTAAGAAAGGGCTTTTCCTTCTATTGCATGTGTGTATTTATTCTTTATTAATACCAGCATGAAATCATAATGTCTTCTGTTATTTAGTACATTATAACTCATTATTATCTTTATTTTCATGTTCAAATTTCTCCAGGTTTCACCTGTGAGAGCCCCTTTAAGACAGCAACTACATCCTTTTGATTTGTCTCTATTATTCTGTGACCATGTGTAAGCACAATCATCTTCTACTTTCCCTTCTCCTTCTATCATAGGAGCATTGGTTAGTTTGAATAGAATAGGAGATTTTCATCGTAAGATCTGAATACTACAGTTGTTCTTTGCTATTTAAGTACCATTGCCTTAGAGTCTTTACATTAGACATAGCTAAGAAATATAGATTTTAAAGGTATACTTATTTCTTGTATTTAGACATTTAGTCTACCTTTCCCTCTTTCTCTCCTTATTCTGTCTCCCTCTCCTCTCTTCTGCCTCCCTTTCCCCAATATGATCAAACACCACAAGGTGTACTTTAATCTTCCTTTCATTTGTTTTCAGCTTTTTTTCAAATAAGACCTGACTCCCTGATTTTAAATATATTTATTCATTAGTTCAACCTCAAATATAATAATAAGAGACTCAAAATTACTACCTCATAGCATTGAAAAAAGTAGAGTTGGATAATAATCCTAAAACACAAATCTGAGCATTATAATCTTAGATGTTGAGATTGCAAAAGATCAAAATCGCTAGTAATCAATTCCCCAAAATCTAAATCCCAAGTCACAATCACAAAAGATTGAAATCCAGAATATATAAATCCCGAAAGCCAAATTTTGGGAAAGACATTAATGTGTTTTCTATTGTATGTAGGATAGTTACACCATGTTAGTTGCATCATGTTAAGTGGAACTGTTACCTTGTTATCATCCATATTTTGAAATTAAGTGTGATTTAAGATGTATATGGATGCCAAGTTGACAAGGAGTGGACTTGGGGACTTAATTTTAGGTGCCAGTGTCACTGGATTAATGAATACCTAGAAATCTGGAAAAGCATAATTTGGGGTATGTCTATAAGGGTGTTTTTCAGAGGAGAATGGTGTGTGGATCTGAGCGGACTATTTGGAGAAGATCTGCCCTCAGCGTTGGCAGACACCATTCAATCAGCCAAGGTCTCCAAAAGAACAAATACAGGAGGCACGTTGGTCTCCTCTCCTCTCCTCCCTTCCCCTCCCCTCCCCTCCTCCCCACTCTCTCTCTCTCTCTCAGAGCTGTGATGGACTTTTCTTCTCCTGCCTTTGACATCAGAAATTTGACTCCATGAGATTGCATTATCAAAACATTGATTTTGTGTGTAAGCACTGTGCATGTATGTAAAAAGGTTGAAATTTCTCCAGTAAATGAAGAGATATCCTTTCGTCAGCAGTGGCAAATTTGTACAGGTCTTCAGCAACCTCAAGTTTTTCTTTTTTTGAGATGGAGTCTCACTCTGTTGCCCAGGCTGGAGTGCAGTGGTGTGATCTCAGCTCACTGAAACCTCAGCACCACCCCCCCTACACCCTGGGTTCAAGTGATTCTCCTGTCTCAGCCTCCTGAGTAGCTGGAATCACAGGTGCCTACCACTGCACCAGACTGATTTTTGTATTTTTAGTAGAGACTGGGTTTCACCATCTTGGCCAGGCTAGTCTTGAATTCCTGACCTCGTGATGCACCCACCTTGGCCTCCCAAAGTGCTGGGATTACAGGCGTGAGCCACCGTGCCCAGCCAACCTCAATTCTTATCTCTTCAGAAGAAAGATTTGACCAAGTGGCATTAGGCAGAGGAAGAGACCGGGGCAAGTTTTAGAATAGGAGTGAAAGTTTATTAAAAAGTTTAGAGCAGGAACAAAAGGAAGTATAGTACACTCAGAAGAGGGCCAAGTGAGCGACTTGAGAGATTCAAGTGTGTGGTTTGACTTTTGACTTGGGGTTTTATATGTTGGCATTGTTCTGGGTCTTGCATCTCTTCTCCCCGAATTCTTCCCTCGGGTTGGGCTGTCCACCTGCGCAGTGGCTTGTCAACACTTGGGAGGGGCCGCATACACAGTGTGTTTCCTGAAGTTGTTTGAGGTGTTTTTCTCTTACTAGTCAGGTGTTCCTAGAGAAGGTCATATACCAGTTAAGCTCCTCTGCCATTTTACCTCTTCTTGTGCATGCTTGACGCCACTTGCCCAACTCCTGAAATCTTATTGGGAAGTTAATGAGCGGCAGATTCAGGTGTTTTCTATCTACAGGGAGACTGCCTTTCCCTGGTACCAGCTGCAACAAATGATTATTTTAGAGAGACAGTTTAACAACTCCCTGACCATCACCTGATGGTTTTCTGACCCTCCTGGTTGGGGCGAAGGGCGCTCTCCTGCCTTGCTCATGACTTCGTAACTATCTACTCCGACACTTCCTCCTTCAAGAGTCCAAGACCCTAACTATTTGGGAAAATGGATAAAGGTCAGTCTTCTATAACTGCTTCCTGCTGACAGAGGGGCGGTGGTGTTTGTTCTGTGAGTCTTGTCCTCTTGCTAACTGTCAGGGCAAGGTGGCTCCATGGGTTAGAAAAAGTGGTATTCAGCCAGGTCCATGGGACCTGGATACTTTCTGTTCATCTACATTTGTGAAAGAAAATTTTCTGATATCTTGACTCTTTGGATGACTGCGTATACATTGGTGACCCTTTGTGGGTTTTTTAATCTAACTCCTCAAAAGACTTACGTTGTCTGTCGCAGTATTTCTGAGGACTGCAGTTATAAAGCGGGGGGCACACAATTATCAACCATAGTGAAATTCATTTATATATTGTGTTTTTGACCTATTTTTATGAATTCAGCTTGTCTGTTCATGACTTATATCTGACTATCGTTAGTATGCCTAAATATTTATGCTTTTAAAAATATGTATGTTACTATTGCCAATTTTATTGTTTGAAATAGCCTATGAAGCGTTCTATCATGTTTTTATATGTTTCTCAAATAAATCCTGTTTTAAAACTGTAAAAAAAGTTTTGAATATCTTTCAAAATTATGTTTTTTGGAATTATATTCTTTGAGTTTAATCTTTTGGGTTGTCAAAATTCATATTTATGTCATTTGTGTCTATGGATTATGATTAGCTCCTGAAAGTAGCAGACCTACCAACTGGAGTTCAATTTTTTGTTACAGTCCTTTTTAATGTAACATTTACAAATAGACAATAAAAAACTCTGAAGTAGATAATTTGATGAATTTGTAATAATCATACGCATGTAACTCTTATTTTCGGTAAGATAAAGAAGATTTTCATCACCCCATAACTAGTTCTCATGTCCTCACTTTATAAATACTGTGATTCTTAATGTTTAAACAGTAATTTAAATTTAGTTAACTTTTAGTAATATAAAATACCATTAATTGTTGGATTTTTGTTTTTCACATTCTAAATTATGCTCTTTGTTATATTTTATTAAATAAACACAAACTTCCTTTCAAAATATTCATATTATAAAAGCATAAAATAACTTAAAAATAATTTACAGTTCTAATTATGTTTTTCATGTATTTGTTTAAGAAGATAAGTATAAGTGAGTGCACAAATTACAGGTATATATCCTTTTCACAAATGGAACCCAATTAGTGTAATCAATACACAAAAAAGTCATATTACCCTAATTTCAGAAGACTTCCTTCTCCTTCCTACTCACTGTTATTCTCAAAAGGTAATAATATCCTCATTTTTAATAACATGCCCTAGAACCATGTAACAACTAAATTATACAATATGCATTATTTTGTGGCTGGAGTTTTGCTAAAAATTACTTTTTTTGGTATTTATTCATTGCGGTGCATATAGCAAGTTCATTTGTGTTCATAGTGGTATAGTATTACATTTTATGAATTTATCAAAGCACAAACCCATTCTAAATTTTATAAACTTTTTTCTTTTTAATGGGATTTTTATGTAAACTGCTGCTAAAAGAATCCTTATATATGCCTTTGGTGAATAGTGTACACATTTCTCTTAGGTAAATACCTAAGGGTGGAATTGCTTAGCCATTGAAAATGTATGTTTATCACTTGTAGATAGCACAAAGCTATCGATACCAGTCTTTGGCGGGTTAAGAACTGGGTTGCACAGCAGGAGGTGAGCCTTGAGCCAGTGAGCATTACCACCTGAGCTCTGCCTCCTATCAGATCAGTGGCAGCATTAGATTCCCATAGGAGTGCAAACACTATTGTGAACTGTGCATATGAGGGATCTAGGTTGCATGCTCCTTATGAGAATCTAATGCCTGATGATCTGATGTGGAATAGTTTCATCCTGAAACCATACTCCCTCTCTACATCTGTGGAAAATTGTCTTCCATGAAACTGGTCCCTCATGCCAAAAAGGTTGGGGACCACTGGTGATAGCATTCTTCTAGTACTGATCTCATTGGAAAATATTTTAGCACTAAGTTTTGCTTGCTATAGTATTTTTTTCCTACAGAAATTCTGTTCTACTTCTGCTTTCCTTAGAATAACAATATAGTTCTTCCTCGATATCAGTGGGGGATTGGCTTGAGAACCTCCTGTGGATACCAAAATCCAAGGATGCTGAAGTCCCTTATATAAAATGGCACAGTATTTACATATAATCTGTACATTTCCTCCCATATACCTTAAATCATCTCTAGATAACTTATAATGCTAATAAAATGGAAATGCTATATAAATAGTTATTGTAAATATCTGTTATACTCTATTCATTTTTTATTTTATTGTTGTATTGTTACTTTAAAAATATTTTTTATTCACAGTTGATTGAATCCATGAATGTGGAACCCACAAATACAGAGAGCTGACTGTATACATTTTGCATGACATATTAGCTTTTGATTGCTGCATAACACATGACCACAAACTTAGTAGATTCAAACAACACCCATTATTAGGTTAAAACTGTATAGGTCATATTATAACCCTATGGAAGCAGTCATTAAGTATTTCACACTTAAAATTTTGAAAGAAATTGCTAGTGAAACCAAATACATTCAAAAATTTTCTTCAGCAGATAGTTTTGAGTATAGACCCAATTTCTAAAGTAGATATAGGACAACTGCAAACTTCTTTTTTATATTTTGTTTCCATTTTAGTAAACTTTTTTACTTGGAATATTCCATTTTATTTGCATCTTCTAAAATACTGTTTCAGTAATAACTTTTGACTTTTGTATTAATTTAGATTCTCCAGAAAAATGGAAACAATAGGATACATAAATGTAAATGTAAATAAACATATCTATAAGCCAAGAGATTTGTTTTCAGTAATTGATTCACCCAATTGTGAGTGTTAGTAAATTTGAAGTATGTGGGGCAGGTTGACATGTGGGAGATTCAGGAAAGAGTTGATGTTGCCCTATAGAGTCTGAAAACTACAGCAAAGAACAGCAGGCTGGAAACTCAAGTAGGGTTTCTATGTTGCAGTACTCAAGCAGAATTGCTTTGTCTTCAAGAAACCTCAGTCTTTTCTCTTAAGACTTTCAACTAATTTGATGAGGCCCATCCACACGATAAAGAATAATCTGCTTTACTTAAAGTTCCAAATCAATTGACACTATGATTGGGAGGACACGTGGGTGAGGCTGACCTAATGATATGAACTCTTTAAATCTAGATTTCTAATAATATTTTTAGATGTGTTTTACCATTTTTCTCTCTGCTTTCTAGTTAGAATATTATATATTTATAAACAACATACACACACACACACACACACACGCACACACACACACACACACACACGTGATTTCTTTTTTGAGATAGGGTCTCACTCTGTCACCCAGTCTAGAGTGTAGAGGAATTAACGCAGCTCACTGCCACCTTGACCTACTGTCCTAAAGGGATCAATCTTCCCAAGTAGCTGGGACCACAGGTGTGCACCACCTTGCTTGGCTAATTAAAAAAAAAAAAAAATTGTAGAGACAGGATTGCACAGGACCTCGCTATGTTGCCCATGCTAGTCTCAAACTCCTGGGCTCAGGTAACCCTCCCACCTTGGCCCATCAAAGTACTGAGATTAAAGGCCTGAGTCACTGAACATGGCAAAAATTTTATATTAATTCAATTTACAATTTATTAAGCTACTCTTTCTTGCTGTGTGTGTAATATTCTGTTATATTCATCTGTTTAGTTTTAAATTTCAGTTAATATATTATTTGTTCTAAGATTTCTGTATTATTTAATATAGATTCCAGTGTCTGACAGAATTTTTGTTATTTATTTTCTCCATATTTTTTCTCTAAGTATCTCTAATATCTATGTCACATACAGTTTTTTCCTTTAAAAATATTCTGCATTTTTCTACCCCTGATAATTTTTTCTTAAGTGTTTGACATTGTGTTTAAATATTGTAAATGTTATATGTGTGATATTATCCACCTACAGAGTAAGTTCACACTTTCTTCTTACAAGTGTTGATAATAGGGTAGGCTATGCACATGTGGGGACTGGGAGTATATACAAAAATGTTTTTCCTTCAACTTTTAAGTTCTGGGCTACATGTGCAGGATGTGCAGGTTTGTTACATAGATAAACGTGTGCCATGATGGTTTGTTACACAGGTCAACTCATCACCTAGGTATTAAGCCCAGAATCCCTTAGCTATTTTTTCTGATGCTCTCCCTCCCACTGCTCCCACCCTGAGAGGCCCAAGTGTGTGTCGTTCTCCCACATGTGAACAAGTGTTCTCATCTTTCAGCTCCCACTTATGAGAACATGTGGTGTTTGGTTTTCTGTTCCTGCGTTAGTTTGCTAAGAATAATGGCTTCCAGCTCTATCTATGTCCTTGAAAAGGACATGACCTCCTTCCTTTTTATGGCTGTATAGTATTCCATAATGTATATGTGCCACATTTTCTTTATCCAGTCTACTGTTAATGAGCATCTGGGTTGATTCCATGCCTTTGATATTGTAAATAGTGCTGCAATGAACATACGTGTGCATGTATCTTTATAATAGAATGATTTATATTCCTTTGGGTTTATACCCAGTAGTGGGATTGCTGAGTCAAATGGTATTTCTGCCTCTAGGTCTTCGAGGAATAACTATGTAGGAAATTACTGTACCTTCCTCCCTTACTCTGAATTTAAAACTGAGTGAAAAAAATTGCCTTAAAAAAGATGAAGAATGTGAACTGAAACATTAATTAGGGCATGAACTAATTGAAAGTTGGTTTGTACTTGGATCCTTGGGGTATTTCATGAAGACACCCACCCACCCACACACCCACAGAATCCCTGGACTCTAATCTAATAATCTTTATTGTCTTTGCAGCATTTCAAGACTGCCATCCTATCTGCCTGGATTTTTATCAGCATTTTGATTGATTTCTTGGCCTCCTTATTTGTATAATTTTAAAATTTAGGAAATATCCTGGAGTGGGAAGGGGTTAATCAGACAATTGGATTTAGTATATAGCTCCCTTTTCTTATTTGGAAATATGACTCTAAAACTTTCTATTTTTTTTGAGATCAAGAAACTATTATTAATAATATCTCTGTTGGCTTCTCCGTTTCTCATTACACATCTTTTGTCCTTTTGTAAAGAATTTTGAGTCTTTTCTGGCACTTAGAATTGGCCATTGCTCTAAAAGACAAAGCAGTTGTCGAATGTCCCCTCATATATTAATGTGTTTACATTTCTCCTTAGATTGTTTTCTTCCTCATGTTATTGTTAACGTGACAATTCTCTTAAGTCATTTTTTTTAATGTTATTTGGTGTTTTAAAGTGTTGATTGTCTAGTCTATTGCAAGCTACTGGTCTGTATTAAATTGCAGATGACTGATGGCCTCATGCTGATTGAAATATGCATGAAAATGAATAAGTGTATTCATCATAGAGCTCAATCACATTGAGTAGTTCTTTAAATATTACCTTCATTGCTGCCATGAAAATAGAAATGAAATGTCAACCATCTATAAATTAATAACATTTTTACTGCTGTATTTTTTATTTGAGATTCTTAGTCTACATTTTTAAAATTGGAACTTTATGGGCTAGGACTCTGCAGAACTCCTTTTTATATTAAAAAAACAAAAAAGGGTAACCTGGGAAGTCCTCATAAAAAATCTTTTGACTGGCAGTAAAAAAAGTACATTTAGAAAAACAAAATCTAGAGAAATGAATGTTTTAAAGGTTAATGTAGGAAAAAAGTTTAATTGGGGCTGTTTGTGCATTATTAGTCCAATTTTACCTTAGTTGTATTTTCCCCTGAAAATAGATTACATTTTATTCCAATTTTAAAACTTATAATGCTGTCCCTCTCTCCAATTTAATACATTTTTAGTTTTTTAAGGAAAATCAGAGTGTTTTACCTATAAAATTATTTATTTACAAATTAGAAGTAAATAATATTCATTTAAAAATAAAAGTGAGAATCAAAATAAGTGTCTTGCCTCCTTACCAAAGTTTTATTTTTTATTCAATTGAAAATATAATTTATTGCTTGGATGTGGTTGGATTTTCTAGGGTCTGACTGTATATGGATCATTTTTAAATTCAGCTAATTTGTCATAAAACAAAGAAAATACACATAGATTTAAGAAAATCCATAATTAATTTACCACTTTTTAATTTGGTGCTTAATAAAGGCATATAATTTACAAAATGTTAGAATTCTGAAGTTCTTTCCCCAAAACAACCTAAAAATTAGGAATAAATATTTGCTTCTTGTGAACAAGTAATGTTTGAATATTATTGGTGTGTCCACAGAGAGTATCATAATGTCTGGAATGTAAAAGGAGGTACACAGTTTTTCTCCTAGTGTATAACGAATGCTACAAAAAGAGGTTGAATAAGGGAAAAATTTTCAGGAGATTTTTCAGGAATGGCTGTATTTAAGAAGTAATCTTTAATTTGGGCCTTATAGACTGTGTAGTTTTTTTAAGGTATTCCATTAAAGAGTCAATAAGGCAAAGGAATATACAGAAAATAGCAATGGTATCTAGTCCCAGTGTGAGTAATCTAATGTCACATCAATGCTGAAGATAAGTAAAGAAATATTGTTAGATAGAACTAGAAAAAGTCAAAGAAAATCAGATTTTTGAAGAGCCTTACTGCCAGACACAGGTAGACAATGCAGAATGTAGAAAATAAACAATAGGAAATAAGCAGATAAGTATAGTTATGAAGGAGTAGAAAACAGCTAGATATGTTGTATAAGACAGTTACAAACTTGAAGAGTATGAGATTAGGCCTACCAGTTAAGAAATTATAGTATATTTAAGATAAGTGGTTATAAGTTCTGAGAACCTAAAGCAATGCAATGGCAATGAAAAGGTAATCATGTGTAATGAAAGTTTTAAACTAATAATATGTCAGTAATCTTGAATTAACTTGATAACTAATTTAGTATAAGAGAACAGTGAAGAGTCAAAGATTAAGATTTTAGGCTTATCTTTCTGGAACAATAATATGGAGATGTAGTCATAAAAGTAAAAGAATGAGTAAAAGAATCTAATTTTGATCAGTTGGTGAAGGAAACAGGTAAGAGAACGGACCTCGTGCAGTCAGCTTTGATAATCTAGCAGGATATGTAAATGGAAATGATTACTAGTCCTTTTCTCACTTAGGAGAGATTCTTGAGGTCTGAGAGGTTATATTTTAACTCTGACACATAGCTGGGTACTATAGATCTGTGAATCATGGATGAAAAATGTGTGAAGGAAGGAGCAGGGAGGAGACATCTATTCCTCTGAAAGAAGATTTGATAGAATAGGTGAAGAGGGAGAATTCAGAATGTGAAATGGAAAAAATGAAGGTCAATTTCCTTTTTCGTTTTAGTTTAAAAAAATAAGGAATCAGCATCTTCTCAGCAGAGCCTTAAAATCAATTGACTTCCTTGACTTAAAGTCACTGGGTGAAAATCAGTTTCAGTTGGCTAGAAGAAGGAGCTTCTTAGAATTTGATGTGTAACCAAATTACCTACTCATGTATTTGCATGAACTGTGCTTACTTGTAGGCAACTTATTTATTGTTTAGCTTTACCACAAACATATGTCCGTGGTTTTTTTAAAAGTCTTCAGCTCACATGACTTTCTTTTGAATAATAACATTTACTCTATTGCCTGGGGTCACACAGTATGCCCATGAAATGAGAAATGCAGCTTAATTGCTATATTCGTTCTTTTCTTAAACTACTAACAGGAAAATCCCTAGCTGCTCTTAAAGGCCACTAAGGTAACATGCAGATATTTCTTTCGAAACATAAAGGTTAAGAAAAAATGTATTTCCCAGTAAGTTATAAATAAGATTAGGACCTTATAAGTAGGTTCTAGCAATCATGTTCCTGCTGAAACCTATAAAGCGAAGTGTCTTTCAAGCCATATAATATCCTTTCTAAATCTTCTAGAGCACACATATCATTATACCATTTGGCAATCTCTAAACCAGATGGGGATCAATGTTTTTAGTGTGGTACATTATACTTTGCTATAATAGAAGCCCTAGGTAATAAATGTTTCTGCAACCAATTTAAAGAGAATCCATTATGCAAATATAATAATACCTGCATAAAATCCTTGATGTTACAGTTTAGCATGATGTATCAAGCTTGTTTTAATGACTTCTCAAGATAAGTTTGTTCAAACAAGGGAAAAATAAAATATAATCAACTTGTGTGTAGCCATTGTAGTAAGAGGAAACAGTGGCAATTAAATCTCCAGAATTTATCTTTGAAAATTATATTTGTTCTGAATATAATCAAGGTTGGATTTAACCAAAGAGTCAATAGACAGAGTTCTAAGTTTTGATGAAAAGACATTTCTTTCTGTGTGGCTTTCTGGTATATTTTTCCCCTTCTGCATATTGTATCATATATATATATATGAATATATATATATCCCCATAAATAAACATACATATAAATGTAAATGGTATTAGTATGTATTTGTATATAGACATATGCGCAGATGCACAAACACACAGACACAGACACATGCACACATGCAGAAATATTTCTTACATCTACTTTCTTGTGGCTAACTAAAATGGTGTACTCTTCCTCTATTGTATTATTCCAAGGTAGATATATTAAGGTATCTATTAATTTTTAAAAATAACATAATATGTTAATAGATTCATAATCCTGAAAGTGAATGCCAAGAAACACAAATTTTAGTTTCTACAATAAGTGTTAAATAAAAAACTTAAGTGTTCAACATGGGAGACTGTGTTATTGGTTCTGATTCACCTCTGGAGATGTCAGTTGGCAGCCTCAGAGGCCACTTCTTTGCTGGCCTTTATTATCCCCACAGCACACATCCAGGAGGAGCCCTGGAACTCTGTAAGATTCTGGTGATACCCTAATATTCCCCTAACATTAACAGCTTCACAATCATTATCTGCCTTGGTTCTATCAGCACAAATATCATTGCACCCTTTGCCTCTGTTTCTGATCATTCATTCATCTTCATAAGAAAATACAAGACTTCAATCCTTTCGTCATACCCAGAATCCCTTGCCACACTGCCTTGTCTGTTCCATCCCTCACCTCTTTGGAGCACTTGAAACTTTCTACTTTGCCTGCCAGAACCATTCAAATCCCCTAAGTATTTTATGTCTTTTGAGAAATTTCTCCTACATTCCTCTTCCAAGGAAAAATTGCCTGTCCTGTCCAGCTTGCCGAAATGATGGTTGTTTTGTCACCAATACTTTAGAGACAACTGGTCTGAAGTTGAGTAAAATATCATTAAAACACTACCCTTTATCTTGAAGTCATCTAACAATCCTTAAGCACTTTCTGGTATTCCTAGGATCTTTAAGTTTCTTGGTGACTGTATTTCTCCATTAGCACTGATATTATCTTTCTTGGTGTTTCTAATATTCATGTAGATAATTCAACTAATGCCTTGTACAATAAACAGCATGCTTTTCTCTTCCAATGACTTTAAAGACTCTCATCAAACTTACTCTATTTTAACCTCATTGGCCTCCTTTTTTGTCCCTAGGACACTCCAGGCATTCTTGCACCATGGAAATTTGCGCATACTGTTCTTTCTGCCCAAATGTTGCTTCACACTTTGCAAGTCTTAGCTCATTTGTCATCTTCTCAGTGAGTCATTCCCTCTTCAATTTAAAACTGAATACTCACTTCTCCCTGCATTCCTTATCTTCCTTCTTTGATTTATGTTTTCTCTTATTGCACTTCTCTCCCACTGATATACTGCGCATTTTATTTATTTATTTTATCCATCTATATTATTCATAGTCTGACACTCACTTTAAAAGATAGCCTCCACAAAGGCAGATAATTTTCTGTTCCTTTCTTTGTTGTATCTTCAATGTCTAGAAGAGTTCTTGGCACATGGAAGTTTTACAGATAAGAATTACAAATACTCCTTATTTATAAATAGTAACCACTTCATACTACCCTTGATTTAAAACAGACTGTTAATATATTCACTAGTTGATTTATTAATCAATGAATCCATTTATTAAGCATTCACATTTATCTTACTTTGTGAATAATACATTCATCAAAAGAAATCTTTGAAAAGTTGTTTAAACTAGACAACTTAAAGGATAAACCTGAGCCTGTTACTCTCTTTTCAGTCTAATCATAAGAGATTAAAGTTTATAGTCATAGCAGAAAGAATACATAGTGCTCAACAGAGCCAAATAGTACCATCTTCCAAACATCAAATGAAATGACAAAAAAACCTCAATAAGATATCATATCTTGATACATTCTTCACTTTTCTAAAAAATTGTAAAATCATCCAACTAAATTACAAAGTTTCTTTATAATGCTCAAATAACCTAGTCCAAAAAACACTATAGTTAATGTGAAGGAAACTTTCCTACTTTTTGTGTTAGCAAGAAAGGTATGAGTTCTTATAGATAGATAAATAGAACTGTAAATGTATTGGCAGTTACTATACATAGTCACTGAAGTGAAATTCTTAATTAGAAATATACCTGGTTAATAATATTTCTGTAAGTCAAGAATAGATTTTTATAAAATCTCAATTGTAGATCCCTCTACGCTAGACTCATCAAAGTTAAATTTGAGAAGTTGTTCAATATAACCTGATCACTCTGACATTAAGTTATTTCCTTCTCCCTCAATGCACAATTGATGACATCATGGTAGGCTTTTAGTGCCCTAGATCTGGGCTTATAAGATTTAGCAATAAAATCAGGGATTCCAGGTAAAATTAAACTTCAGATAAACAACATTTATTTTTTCAAGCATTATTATATTTCATGTAATATTTGGGACACAGTTATGCTGAAATTTCTTTGCTATTTCTGTGAAATTCAAATTTAACTGATCATCCTCTATTTTATTTGGCAACCATAGTTGGGCTTCCTCTACATCTATACTCAGGTATGAAAAAATCAGCAGAAACACATAAATAGATCTACCAAATTGCTTTTAATAGCTTAATTCTCACTCCATTTAAAAGAATAGTGTCATTGAAACATACAGTTTCCTTTCTATGGGAGAAGTGTACCACTCTATTAATGAGACTAACATAGAAAATGGGAATATATACATCTTGTTTTTAAATTTTGCAGTTAGGATTATCCCTAGGAAAAAAATGAGAAGGAATATCTAACTAGCCTCCTAAGTTTTCCCTAGAAGAGTTTGTCCTTTCCTGCTCTTCCAATTATCCAATGCTCTTGACAGCTGTGATTTGTCTAGGCATAGATTATAAAGAATGACTGAATCAACTCATATTCTATCAACCACTCATTCTTTGGTCTCTGCCACTGACTTACATGAGTGAATACACACACACACATAGACACATGTGTTTCTGAATAGGTCTACAATGGTTATTCCTTCCTATGGTAAAAGAGATAAATAAATCTCAAAATCTCCCTTTTTTTAAAAAAATAATCCAAACCCTCACGTGGCAATCCAAATTTATTGAACTACTGATGATAAGTTATACAACATGGTACCACTTTAATTAAGGATTTTGGTTTATATTTAGCCACCTCAAAGTAGTTGTAACATTAGGTTAGTCAATTTAAATATGGTGGCTCCCTGATAGACAGAGACAGTCTTTACATCGAAAAGCTAATGCATACAAAGTAACAAGGCATTGTAAATAAAGCAGCAACAGTTACGCAGGTTGGTCCTTGAGATCATTTACACATGATAAAATTACTTCCCACATTCGCATCCATAGTACTTATATATCATTTGACATAGGGATGTCCAATCTTTTGGTTTCCCTGGGCCACATGGCAAAAAGAAACATTGTCTTGGGCCATACATCAAGTACAATAACACTAGCAATAGCTGACGAGCTAAAAAAAAATAAATAAATAAATAAAAAAATCACAAACATTCTCATAATGTTTTAAGAACATTTACAAATTTGTGTTTGGCTGCATTCAAAGCCATCCTGGGCTGCATGCGGCCTATAGGCCATGAGTTGAACAAGCCTGATTTAACATATCGACCAAAACATTACATATGTGATACAATCACTAACAGGCAAAAATACTAAACCTATATATTTGGTATTGCAAATACACTTATGCATGAGCAAACAAGGGATTCACAATGAGAATCTATAGCTGCAGAAGCCTGAAATGATTTACAAAAAATGTGAAATCATTAAATAATTGCTTGAAAATATATACTTCTTGTTGTAGACCCCTACTGTCCATAAAAGTATAAACATTATTCACTAGGTAAACAAAAAAGCAAACATATAGTAAGAGATTCGAAAAGTCTCAACATTTCCTTCCCAACAGATATGAAAGGCAACATCTTTAAGACATTATACTGATGGGACTACCATATTTTAAAGACAAGATTACTGACTCCACAGTTTTAAAAAAAAAATTATAAAACTTTATATCTATGTTAATCAAAGTGCTTATTTTGGACAATACAATGATAAAGACCTTGAATTTATTTTTGAAAATTACAATAAGCTACAAGTATCAAAGAAGGAAAGTTACCTAGAGTAGTCTTTATAGGAGCTCTTTGGACTTTCTTTTATTATGCTAAAGTAGAGGTGTTTTTAGGATTTACCTTATTGTACTCTTCAATACAGAGTATGGGACATGTTAAAGGATGCAGCAAACCATTTTCATACATTTACCACATTGGTGGATGAAGAATGTCTCTTAGCATAATATTTGATATAGATCTGATTTTACCAGCTGCATACTTAGGACTATTATATGAGTAGAAATCTAACTTGTGATACTGAAAAATGATAAGAATTTGCGAACTGATATAGGAGCTTTCATCCATCTCTTAAGGGACACCACAATAGGAAAGTCTAAGATGTTGGTAGGTTTAACAAAGTTGGAATGTACTGTTGAGTCGGGCAACAGTTCTTCAGACTTAGCTCAGAGCTACAAGGCATTTAGTATATTAAACCAGCTGACATGACTTTTTCCAAGCCTTCCAGGCACTAGAGTTTTTCTGTTAATTTGTTGCACTGGGTAATAAAATAGCTAATTAACATTTACTTGTAATTTTGAAGAAGATTATAAGAATGCAGTGTTGGCCCACTGTCTTGTTAGATTTTGACCTTGTTCCTTTTCTACAACTCTTTCATCTTCCAAGTCACAATTATTACCGACCAGAATCATTGGAACATCATCAATGTTTTTAACTTGAAGAATCTTTTCTCTTAGATGTTGAAAATCATTAAATGTGCACTGTGCTATGATGAAATAAACTAATGCAAAGCCTTGTTTATTTTGCATGTACAAATCCCTCATTGCTGAAGATTTTTCTGTTTTTGTGGTATCCAAGATTTCAAGCACACACTGTTGTGCATCTATTTCAAGTTGCTTTCTGTACGAATCTTCTATCATAGGATCATAATTTTCAACATAATTTCCTTGGACAAATTGTAAAGGCAGAGCAGACTTTCGAATGCCTCCTGAGCCCAGAACGACTAGCTTATACTCATGCTGATACAAACTTGTCAAAACCTAATGCCTCCCATCCAGTCACTGGGTACCCGCAGCCAGTTTCACCCCGCACTCCCTCTTGATGGTGCCACCATGGTCCTGCCACTGCAGTCCCTCTGGCTGGTTTACTCACTTGGCTCTGTAAGTCTCAAGATTTCTTAAGAAAATTGTAATGGATATGAAAAGAAAGAAATGTTTGTTTCTACTTTGTTTTCATTTCTTTCTACCTTTGATTAAATTGCATATCTGTAGTGAGATATAATTTGAGATATAATTTTGGTATTCATATATCTTTCTTATCTATTAGTAATATCTTTCTCATTTTTGCATTCTGCCATTGAGATTTTTCTCTGCCTGAAACTGTAAAAATCAGAGCCTGATAAAGCCCTGAAAAGTGTTTATGATATTTAGTTCCCTTTAAGTTAAAACAAACAACAAAATAACATTAACACTTTCTACCTCTTTGTTCAAGATTCCCTAATATGTGCCCCAGGGCCACTACTCAGACTCAGATAAGTCTTTAGTCCAGAGTGGACTTATCACCATTTGGGTGAATGGGCCCCATAGAAGACTGAGATAGTAAGTGCTGTGTTTAAGGTATTGCAGCAATGATGGGAGTTTTAAAGCAATTGTCACTCCTTTTGAAATATTGCTGTTCATGTAACTCACAGAATTCTTTGCATCGATCAGTTTAACTTGAAAAACTGTACTTTGTCAACAAGAGAAGCCAAGTTGCCCTTTCTGCAATTACCAGTGACCTGTGTTTTTTATCCTGTTAGATACAGTTTTACTAGCAGTTTAGGAGCTATTGTCACTGGGATAATCTGAGATGCCCACTCTAAGGTTGCACTTCACACACTCTGTCATATGACCATCTTTAAGAGCCCCATTTACAGCAGAAGTATACATGCACCTCCCACCACCATCTGAATAATATATGTTGCATTTGTGACTAAGTCAAGGGTTTCAATTATTGGTTTAAGTATAGCTCTAAACTGAGACAATTGACTTTTCAGTTTCAAAACTGTTAGAAAACTCAGCAAACCCAAATATTAATTTGAAATTAAATCACATAGAAAGAAAAGTACAATTTCAAAAAGCCAAAGACACATAGTTGATTATTTTGTCTGATCCCAACTATATTCGAAATTTTTCCAAAACTCTAGTCCATTCTCTACTTTGTCTTCAGTGAAGTGCTCGTATAGATATAACTTCAATCAATGAAAAGAAATGTTTATTTTTCACTTCATGTTTTAACACTAGAATAACTACTACGTAGATATAGAGTTAAGGTAAATTTATTGATTACATGTTGTGGATTTTAGGACACAATGGTTCTTTTCTAGTTTATAATAGATTTCCAGTATATCTCGAAATCTATTAAGTGTATAAATAAGTGTTTATTTTTCCCACACAAGATTGACATAGAAAATCATATATACACAACCACATTAGGTATGACAAGTACATAATGAAAACCTACTGTATTCCAACTCTGTGCTGAGATTTAGACATACAACTTAGTTGGAAAACAGACAAAACAAATAACTAGTCAAATATCACACTGTGGTGAGAACTAGGAGGAAAGAAACCAAGTAACTGATAGTGAAGAATGGTATGGGTGTGAGGATGAAGGAGTGAGAGGTCGGTTAAGATAGACTTTCTTTTGGAGAAGTAAGGAGACAGATTCTTAAAGGTTAAGGAGAGTCATATTAGGATAAGAGGGTATAGAGAAAGCCATGAAGTAAGAAAAACCTTGGCATATTTCAGAAACTGAAGAAAGGCTGGAATGGCTAAATTGTAGTAAGTATATCAAAGAATGGCACTATACCAAATGAGAATGATATATATGGATCCTGCAGAACATCGGGTTCTTCAAAGACACCAGATTTTCTTTAATGTATTATAATAAAATACTAATGCGCGTGCATGTGCGAGAGGCTGACTATTAAGAAATACAACTAGTTGGAGACTTGACTTTACTTGCAAGATTATAAGTTAGCCTGACAGAATTAGGAATGCTGGTAGAAGACTTGAGACTCTTGAACCAGAGACAAAGGCCATTGTCATTCACAGCATTGCAAGCAGCATGAGGATCTATATATTTGTTCCAGTTCTTCTTATTTCCAAGTCCCACATCAGCAACACAGATGGGCCCAGATGGACACTGGGACAGGAAATGAATAGGTGCTGTTGCAGGAGAAGGACTCTGAACTTACGGAACATAAATCTTTTGTAATGGACAGCCTGCCCTTTCTCCAGGAAAAGATGTGATCTTCATTATAAAGGACAGTAAACATGCTTACACTTGGTTCTAGCACGAGATACATTATCTTCGAAAATTATATCTTTGCTCTACAAACATCCTTCAAAAAATAGTCTAGAGCAAATATAGATAACTGCTTCCATTCGCAAGACATGCAGAAATGCAAGGAACCCATGGATAATTGTTTTTCAACAGTCAGGATCTGACTTATATTTTAAGCAATTCATGATGATTACACTGTGGAGAATATTGAGAGGAGGTGAGTGTTATGCAGGATGACCACTGGGATATCACCACATAATTATGAGATGTGCTTTGGTGGAAGGGGAGATAATTCTGGCCTGAACTAGGCATATGCCTATTAAGATGGAGAAAACTCAACAAGTCAGTATGTATTTTGGAGGTAAAATTGGCAGAATTTATAAATTTTTGCTTAATTGCATAGGTGAAATAATTTAGAAGTCAAAAATTTATTCAGATAGAAATGTTTATGTGGTATAGGAAAATAAAGTCATTTTTATTGAAGCAATAAATAGTTCAATTTTGAATATGCGAGGCTTAAAATAAATGTAAAGTACTGAATATGTACAAGATGGGGCTCAGAAGAAAGATGTACGTGAAAATGATTTTTGGAGTCAACAAGTAGACAATGAATGAATTCCTGAGAATGAATGAAATGACCCAACACTCACTAAAAAATGATTTAAAGAGAGAAGAGTGAACTCAAATAAATACTAAAGAAAACCAATTATTAGATATCAGATATAGTAAGAGGTACCTGAAAATTTAGCAAGTAGTTGTAAAAGGCAGATTATTGTGTCCAAGAAAAAAAAAAAGAAAGAAAACCAACAAATAATGCTGCAGGAAGGATACAGACATCTGGTCCAAATTGTCCTAATTAACTACTTTATTTATCATTAATTGGGAAAGCTGAATGGAGTAAACTTTTCTAACTAATACACATAAAATTGACTTTTTCTTTAAAATCTAATTTCTAACTAAATGTTGCCCAAGGAACTCACAACTGCAGAGTTGTTATAAATTTTGAAATTAACATTGCTCATGTAGCAATGTTTCTCTTCCACAAAAAATAAAAAAAGACTTACAAGTAAAGTTCAGTGTATTATAAATCATGTAAACCTAAAGTAATACAGACAGAAGCTGGTAGTGAAGGAGGCTTTTGAAGTAGAAAAAGTAAGTTTTAGAGTAAAGACATTAATTTCTTGTTTTTACATATGAAGGATCAAGATTCAGTCTGAGGTTCTTAAAATAATAAAAAGAATTAATGTCTCATATTTAAAATATGTAGGAAACAAACTACAAAATATAACTAGCAATACTAAAGTTCTCATTGTTTAGTGAACAGTATCGTACTAATGTTACTTTCCTGGTTTTGCTCCTTATACTATGGTTATGAAAGATGTGATCATTAAGAGAAGTTGGGTAAAACTAATTCGCAACCTTGTCTAAAAAGTTTCCATTTAAAATGTTTTAGAAATTAAAAAAAATATCAGTAGAAGGAGAGAAAATGCAAGTATGCTATTCCCTCATGTTATATTAGAATCTATAATGATGTTGGCTATCAACATGTCCCATTCCCATTATTTTGCTTCCTAATCAACTATCAATACTGTCAATGTATTAACATTTCCCTCAAAACTGTGTATCTCAGAAGAAATTGACAACTTTCTCACCTCCAGCAGAAGCCTGGATTAAAGTGCAAACTAACTAGTCTTCTCAGTAATTAACTAGCTCAAGAATGAACACGCAACTTAATCTCAGCCAATGTGTAGTGAAGGGAAGATTGTTGAGTGCCTTGTGAGATTAGTTTAACCCCAAGATAACCCATTATTATTCCTCTGGACTTCGTGTGAGCTTTCTGAAGCCTAGAACTCAAGTAACCAATTTGCTACCTATAAAGATAAAATTAGTTCTGCAGATAGCAGAACATATTAGAAAGAAACCGAGTTCTTGATGATATAATTGACTTCTTAAATAATTCAACCTGAAGACTGTTACGTAAAATAAAATAAAAATACACCACGCTTTGAGCCAGATTGAATTACATGAATAAAATTGAAAGCATGATAACTAAGAAAAATTATCAATGGGCACCAAGCAATTGTGATAACTCAAGAAATGATTATAGAATCAGTTGTTTAAAATTCTCTTATTAACCATTGAATAACTCAAAACAGATTTATAAGAAAATACCTAAGTGTAGTAAGTGAAGAACAGAATAAGGATACATTTAAAAAAATTTTTTCCCTTAATATCATTCAGTGTTTGTTTTTTTCCTTTCCACCCCCATATATAAATCAAATATTTACAAAAAAAATTGTGGGACATTAATCAGTATAATAATTCAGAGTGTGGGAGAAATATTTGAATGTTGATTAAAAAGAGCTGTAAGTTTTTGCTATTGTTTTCCTACCCAGACATGTGTTCATCACTTCTACAAATGGCAGACACAGAGGCAAAATATAATAATATACATAATGTTAAAAACAAGAAATAGACTGAAAGAAGGAGTTTGTAACATAAATCATAGTAATTGGATTAACATATGCTTTCATATATTATATAATTACTATTTTTATTTGGAAAAAACAAGACAAGTAAATAGAAAAATGGGCAATGACTGATAATTAGTAACTCTCCAAGGAATAAATGTATATGTCCAATAAATACATAAATAGATACACAAAGTACTAATAATAAGAAACAATAAAATTAAAACAATATTGCAAAGTTTTTAAATCCATCAAATTATAATAATTTTAAAGACTAATTATCTGCTTTCTTAACCAGAATAAAATCAAAATAGGCACTCACAAATTCTTTGGACAGCAGTGTTGCTTGGTTGCATCACTTCTGGAAAGCAATTTGGCAGTAACTATTAAATGTATATACCTTCTTTGTCTCAGTCTTTCACTTATAGGAGTTTATACTTTAGATATATTCACATATGTGCACAAAAATAAGTGTTTAAAAATACTGATTATATTTTATAGTTTAAATGGTGGTAACTTAAAAAAATCAAACAAATATTCCAAGTTAAGAGAAAGATTAGAAAATGTATGGGATAGTCTTATTATACCACCACTAAAGAGATGAGGTAAAGCCCCAATTATAATGTTGATTAAATAAAGCACATAACTATATAATGAAAAGTATAATTCCATCGTTTTGTGCCTTTGTGTGTAAACATGTACAAAAAATTTGGGACATTACTGACTGTAATAATTTAGAGTATGGGAGAAAAATTTGAGTGTTGATTGAAAAGAGCTGTAAGTTTTTGCTATTTATTTTCTGAACTCTGAATATTTAAAAAAATACTTTGGTAATTGTTTTAGTCAATAGAAGAATTTTATAGAAGACAATTAGGATGTTACATTTTTATAACTGGAATTGTTTTCACATACTGTTTAATATCATATGTTATTATCTACTTTTATGATCCAGAAATAATCATGTTCCTATAAGAAGTAATGGCATAATATAAAAATTATCCTTTATGAATATGGACTATTCAACAATATGTAATAATCACGTCATGGTAAATGGGATATTCATCACCTGAAACATTTATCCTTTGTGTTACAAATAATCCAATTATACTCTTTTGGTTATTTTTAAATGCACAATCAAATTATTATTGACCATAGTCACATTGATATGCTATCAAATACTAGAGCATATTCATGTTTTCTAATTTTTGTACTCATTACCTCCATTCCTCCACCACACCCCACCTCCAGTATTCTTCTCAACCTCTGGTAACTGTCATCCTACTTTCTATTCCCATGCGTTCAGTTGTTTAAATTTTTAGCTCCCACAAATAGGTGAGAACATGAGAAGTTTTTCTTCCTGTGCCCAGTTTATTTCACTTAACATAATGATCTCCAGTTCCATCCATTTTGTTGCAAATGACAGGATCTCACTTTTTTTTTATGGCTGAATCGTGCTCCATTGCATATGGAACATTTTCTTTATCTATTCATTTGTCAATAGACCCTTGTTTCCAAATCTTTGCTATTGTGAATAGTTTTGCAATAAACAGAGGAGTGCAAATGTCTCTTCTATATGCTGATTTCCTTTCTATTGGATATACACTTAGCAGCAGGATTGCTATATAATATAGTAGCTCTATTTTTCATCTTTTGAGAAATCTCCAAACTTTTCTTCATAGTGATTGTAATAATTTACATTCCCATGAACAGTGTGTGAGGGTTCCCTTTCCCCAACTTCCTCACCAGCATTAGTTATTGCCTGTCTTTTAGGTAAGAGCCATTTTAACTGGAGTGAGATGATATCTCATTGTAGATTTGATTTGCTTTTCTCTGATGATCAATGATGTGGAGCACCTTTTCATATACCTGTTTTCCATTTGTATGTCTCTTTTAAGAAATAACTGTTCAGATATTTTGCCCATTTTTTAGTCAGATTAATAGATTTTTACCTCAAGAGTTTTTTGTGCCCCTTATATATTTTGGTTATTAATCCCTTGTCAGATAAGTAATTTTCCCATATTTTCTCCCATTCCGTGAGTTATCTCTTCGCTTTGTTGATTGTATCCTTTGCTATGCAGAGCTTTTTTACTTGATGTAATTTCATTTGTCAATTTTTGCTTTGGTAGCCTGTGCTTGTGGGTTATTACTTAAGCAATCTTTGCCCAGTCTAGTATCCTGGAGAGTCTCCCCAATGTTTTCTTTCAGTAGTTTCATAGTTTGAGGTCTTAGACTTAAGTCTGTAATCCATTTTGGGTTTTTAAAATATGGTGAGAGATGGGGTCAAGTTTTATTCTTGTACCTATAGATATCCAGTTTTCCCAGTATCATTTATAGAAAAGAATCTTTTCCCCAGTGTATGTTTTTGGAACTTTTCTTGAAAATGAGCCATTGTAGATGTATGTATTTATTTCTAATTTCTCTATTCTGTTCTGTTGGTTTACATGTCTGTTTTTATGTGAGTACCATGCTGTTTTGGTTATACTACCATGCTGTGTAGTATAATTTGGAGTCAGGCAATGCAATTCCTCCAGTTTTGTTCTTTTTGCTAAGAATGGTTTTTGTAGTCCATATACATTTTAGTATTATTTGTTTTATTTCTGTGAAGAATGTTATTGTTATTTTGATAGGCATTGTATTGAAACTGCAGAATGCTTTGGGTGATACAGACATTTTAACAATATTGATTCTTCCAATCTATGAAGATGGAATAGCTTCTCATTTTTTGTGTCCCCTTCAATTTCTTACATCAATGTTTTATAGATGTCATTGTAGACATCTTTCACTTCTTTGGTTAAGTCTATTCCTAGGTATTTAATTTTAATTATAGCCATTGTATATGAGATTATTCCTTGATTTCTTTTTCAAATTGTTACTATTGGCACATAGAAATGCTACTGATTTGTGTACATTGATTTTATATTCTGCAACTTAATTTTTAGTCAGTTCTAATCATTTTTTGGAGCAGTCTTTAGTTTTTTTTCAAATATAAGATTATATCACCTGCAAAACAGCATAATTTGATTTATTTCTTTCCAATTTGGATGTCCTTTATTTCTTTCTCTTGTCTGACTGCTCTAGCTAAGACATCCATTACTATATTGAATAGTAGTGATGAAAGTGGGCATCCTTGTCTTGTTTCAGATCTTAGAGGAAAGACTTTCAGTTTTTTCCCTATTCGGTATAATAGTAGCTGTGGGTCTGTCATATATGGCTTTTATTGAGATGAAGTGTTCCTTCTATATCCAGTATTTTTACAGTTATATTATGAAGGAATATTGAATTTTATCAAATGCTTTTCCTGTACCAATCAAAATAGTCATGTGGATTTTGTCCTTCATTCTGTTGATATGATGGACCACATTGATTGATTTGCATATGCTGAACCATCTATGCATCCTTGGGATAAATCCCACTTGGTTGTAATGAATGATCTTTTCATGTGTTGTTCATTTGGTTTGCTAGTATTAGGTTGATGCAAAATTAATTGCTGTTTTGCCATTGCTTTTAATTGCAAAAACTGTAAATACTTTTGCACCAAACTAATATTTTGTTGAGAATGCTTGCATTAATGTTCATCAGAGTTATTGGCCTATAGTTTTTTTTTTTTTTAATGATGTGTCTTTTTATGGTTTTGGTATCAGGATAATAATGACCTTGTAGAGTGAGTCTGGAAGTAATTATTACTTCCATAGTTTAAGTAGGAATGGTATTCATTCTTCTTGAAATGTTTGGTAAATTTCAGCAGTGAAGCTGTTAAGTCCCAGGTTTCCTATGCTGGGAGACTTTTCATTGCATTTTTGACCTCATTATCTTTTATAGGTCTGCTCAGGTTTTAGATTTCTTAATGGTTAAATCTTAGTAGGTTGTGTCTAGGAATTTATTCATTTCTTCTAGCTTTTTCAATTTGTTGGCATATAATTGCTCACGGTAGTCTCTAATAATTCTTTGAATTTCTGCATTATCAGTTTTAATGACTTTTTTCAGCTCTGATTTTATTTATTTGGTTCTTCCCTCTTTTCTTAGTCTGGCTAAAGGTTTGTGGATTTTGTTTATCTTGTCAAAAAACAAACTTTTGGTTTCATTTTTGTATTTTTTTCTTCATTTCAATTTTATTTACCTCTGTTATGATCTTTATAATTTATTTTCTTCTACTAGTTTGGGATTTGGTTTGTTCTTGCTTTTCTAATTCTTTAATATGCATTGTTAAAGTTGTTTATTTGAAGTTTTTCTCCTTTTTTGAGGTAGGTGCTTATTGTTTTAAACTTTCCTCTGGGTACTGCTTTTTCTGCATTCCATAAGTTTTGATGTCATGTGTTTCCATTTTCGTTTGTTTCAAAATGTTACAGCTTTCTTCTTAATTTCTTCATTGACACTCTGAACACTCAGAAGCATATTGTTTAATTTCCATGTATTTGTATAGCTTTCAAAGGTCCTCTTATTATTGATTTCTAGTTTTATTCCATTGTGGGCAGATAATATACTTGATATGATTTCAATTTTTTTGAATTTTTTAAAACATGTTTTGTGGCCTAACATATGGTCTATCCTTGGGAATGATCCATGAGCTGAGAAGAAAATGTGTATTTTGCAGTTGCTGTATAAAATGTTCTTTAATTTTCTACTGGGTCCATTTGGTCTGTAGTGCAGATTAAGTCCAATGTTTCTTTGTTTCCATCTGGATGATTTGTCCAATGCTAGCCCAGTACAGCACCAGGAATTGCAGGAATTGCCCAGGAATTGCAGTCCTTGTGTCCTAGACTGCCTTTCAGGTTTTCTTGTGACCTCAGAGTGCTTTAACCCATGGTGGTGGGGCTTACCAGGACTCAAGTCCCAACTGCTGGGATGAACACTTCTTTTCTGGCTAGGGCTGGTCCAAATGCTCCCTCCATGGGAACCAGCTGAATTCTGCCCCGTGTTGTTTTCCACAGTAATAGGGAACCACTGAGTTCCAATGTAATGTCCCACAACTACTGGGCTTTCACTTCCCCATATGTACATGTTCTCTCTCCACACCCTGCAGCCACTGAACCTGCAGGAGGATGGAGGAGGGGTGGCGTTGGCAATTTAAGACTGTCTTTCTTTTCCTCTTCAACGCCTCTGTCCTTGATATAATGTTGAAACCAGGTACTGTGATTACTAACCTAATTGGTGGTTCTTATGAAGGTACGTTCTTGTGTGGATATTTGCTCAATTAGGTGTTCCTGTGGGGGTGAGGATGATTGCTGGAAGGTTCTATTTGACAGTATTGCTCCACTTCCTTCCCTAACTCTTATTCATGAGGTGCAGTTTTGAAGAGTGTACAAATAGGCTCTAACAGACTAAAAATATGCTTCTTTGGACTATATTTTAAATAATTTGGTGTTTAAGAGTTTGAGTTTAGTACTGGTAAACTTTGGGCTGCTGTAAACAAGTACACAACATGAAGCCATTTTAGGTCAATACACAGGAGCCATCTTTGCCAATTTATGTAACAACCTGTAAAAGTAAAACAAGAAAAGTAACCTAACTTATTTTGTTTCTTTCTCTATTTTTTTTTCTTTTTTACTTTTTTAAGTTCCAGGATACATGTGCAGAACACGCAGTTTTGCTACATAGGTGTAGATGTGCCATGGTAGTTTGCTGCACCTATCAACCCATCACCTAGATTTTAAGCCCCATATGCATTAGCTGTTTGTCCTGATGTTCTCCCTTCCCTTGCTCCCTCGACCCCCAACAGGCCACAGTGTCTGTTGTTCCTCTCCCTGTGTCCATATGCTCTCATTGTTCATCTCCCACTTATGAATGAGAACACGTGGTGTTTGGTCTTCTGTTCCTGTGTTAGTTTTCTGAGAATGATGGCTTCCAGCTTCATCCATGTCCCTGCAAATGACATGATCTCATTCATTTCTGTGGCTGCATAGTATTCCATGGTGTATATGTGCCACATTTCCTTTATCCAGTCTATCACTGATGGGCATTTGGGTTGGTTCCATCTCTTTGCTATTGGGAATATTGCTGCAAGAAACATACAGGCGAAGGTATCTTTAGAACTGAATAATTTATATTCCTTTGGGTATATTCTCAGTAATGGATTTGCTGGGTCATATGGTATTTCTGGTTCTAGATCCTTGAGGAATCACCACACTGTCTTCCAAAATGGTTGAACTAATTTGCATTCTCACCAACAATGTAATAGTGTTCCTATTTCTCCACAGCCTCGTGAGCATCTGTTATTTCTTGACTTTTTAATAATCGGCACCTGACTGGTGTGACATGGTATCTCATTGTGGTTTTGACTGGCATTTTTCTAATGATCTCTAAAAAAAGATGTTGAGCTTTTTTTCATATGTTTGTTGGCCACATAAATGCCTTCTTTTCAGAAGTGTCTGTTCATATCCTTTGCCCATTTTTCAATGGGGTTATTTGTTTCTTTCTTGTAAATTTGTTTAGGATCCTTGTAGATTCCGGATATTAGGCCTTTGTTAGATGGGTAGATTGTGAAAATATTCTCCCATTCTGCAGGTCACCTCTTCACTTTGATGATAGTTTCTTTTCCTATTGCAGAAGCTCTTTAGTTTAACTAGATCCCATTTTCCAATTTTTGCTTTCATTGCAATTGCTTTTGATGATTTCACCCTAAAATCTTTGCCCATGTCTATGTCCTGAATGGTATTGCCTAGGTTTTCTTCTAGGATTTTTATGGCTTTGGGTTTTAATCTATTTTGAGTTAATTTGTATATAAGGTGTAAGGAAGGGGTCCCATTTCGGCTTACTGCATATGGCTAGCCAGTTTTCCAAGCACCATTTATTAAATAAGGAATCCTTTCTCCATGCTTGTTTTTGTCAGGTTTGTTGAAAATCAGATGGTTGTAGATATGTGATTTTAATTCTAAGGTCTCTATTATGTTCTATTGATCTATATGTCTGTTTTGGTCCCAGTACCATGCTGTTTTAGTTACTGTAGCCTCATAGTATAGTTTGAAGTCAGGTAGTGTGATGCCTCCAGCTTTGTTCTTTTTGCTTAGGATTATCTTGGCTATGTGGGCTCTTTTTTGGTTCCATATGAATCTTAAAGTAGTTTTTTTCTGTTAATAATGTCAATGGTAGTTTCATGGGAATAGAATTGAATGTATAAATTACTTTGGGCAGTATGGCCATTTTCATGATATTGATTCTCCCTATCCATGAGAATGGAATGTTCTTCCGTTTATGTCTGCCCTCTCTCATTTCCTTGAGCAGTGGTTTGTAGTTCTCCTTGAAAAGGTCCTTCATGTCCCTTGTTAGCTGTATTCCTAGGTATTTTATTCTCTTTGTAGCAATTGTGAATTGGGAGGTCATTCATGATTTGGCTCTCTGCTTGTCTATTGTTGGTGTATGGGAATTCTTGTGATTTTTGCACATCGATTTTGTATCCTGAGACTTTGCTGAAGTTTCTTATCAGGTTAAGGAATTTTGGGGCTGAGACAATGGGGTTTTCTAAATACAGGATCACATCATGTGCAAAAAGAGACAACTTGACTTCCCCTCTTCCTATTTAAATACACTTTATTTCTTTCTCTTCACTGCTTTTCCTGGCCAGAACTTTCAATACTATGTTGCATATGAGTGGTGTGGTAAGAGAGGGTATCCTTTTCCTGTGCTGGTTTTCAAAGGGAATGCTTTCTGCTTTTGCCCATTCAGTATATTGACTGTGGGTTGTCACAAATAATGCTTATTATTTTGAGTATGTTCCATCAATACCTAGTTTATTGAGAGTTTTTAACATGAAGAGACGTTGAATTTTATTGAAGATCTTTTCTGCATCTATTGAGATAATCATGTCGTTTTTGTCATTGGTTCTGTTTATGTGATGGATTATGTTTATTGATTTGTGGATGTTGAACCAGCATTGCATTGTAGGGATGAAGCTGACTTGATCATGGTGGAAAAGCTCTTCGATGTGCTGCTGGATTTGGTTTGCCAGTATTTTATTGAAGATTTTCTCATCAATGTTTATCAGGGATATTGGCCTGAAATTCTTTTTATTGTGTCTCTGCCAGGTTTTGGTGTCAGCATGATGCTGGCCTCATAAAATGAGTTAGGGAGGAGTAGTGCCATTCTCAATTATTTGGAATAGTTTCTGAAGGCATGGTACCAGCTCCTCTTTGTAGTTCTGGTAGAATTCAGCTGTGAATCCATTTGGTAGTGGGCTTTTTTTTTTTGGTTCGTAGGCTATTTATTACTCCCTCAATTTCAGAATTTGTTATTGGTCTATCCAGGGCTTCAACTTCTTCCTGGTTTAGTGTTGGGAGAATGTATGTGTCCAGGAATTTATCCATTTCTTCTAGAAAGGCAGGCCTGGTAGTGATGAATTCCCATTGTATTTTTTTTTCTGAAAAATATTTTATTTCTCTTTTGCTTATGAAGCTTAGTTTGGCCGGATATGAAATTCTGAGTTAAAAATTCTTTTCTTTAAGAATGGTGAATTGGCCACTTTCTTCTGGCTTGTAAGGTTTCTGCTTAGAGATCTGCTGTTAGTCTGTTGGGCTTCTCTTTGTAGGTAACCTGGCCTTTCTTTCTGGCTGCCCTTAACATTTTCTCCTTCATTTTGACCTTGGAGAATCTGATGATCATGTGTCTTTCGGTTGATCTTCTTGTGGTGTATCTTAATGGTGTTTTCTGTATTTCCTGAATTTGAATTAATATTCAATTAATTAAATTATTGATTTAATATTAATGCTTGTCTCGCTAGGTTGTGGAAGTTCTCCTGCATAATATTCTGAGGTGTGTTTTCTAACTTGTTTCTATTCTCCCCATCTCTTTCAGGTACTCCAATCAGTCATAGGTTCAGTCTTTTTACATAGTCCCATATTACTTGGAGGTTTTGTTCATTCTGTTTTACTCTTTTTTCTCCAATCTTGTCTGCCTGCCTTATTTCAGCAAGATGGTCTTCCATCTCTGATATTATTTCTTCCACTTGATCATTTCGGCTATTGATACTTGTGTATGCTTCAGGAAGTTCTTGTGCTGCATTTGTCAGCTCCATCAGGTCATTTATGTTCCTCTCTAAATAGTTTATTCTAGTTAGCAGCTCCTCTAGCCTTTTATCAAGGTTCTTAACTCCTTTGCACTGGGTTAGAACATGCTCCTTTAGCTCAGAGGAGTTTGTTATTACCCACTATCTAAGGCCTACTTCTATCTATTCGTTCATCTCATCCTCCATCCCCTTCTGCGTCCTTGCTGGAGAGGTGCTGTGATCATTTGGAGGAGAAAATGCACTCTGGCCTTTTGGGTTTTCAACGTTTTTACATTGATTCTTTCCCATCTTCGTGAGTTTGTCTACTCTCAGTCTTTGAGGCTGCTGACCCTTGGATGAAGTTTTTGTGGGGAAATTTTTTGTTGATGCTGTTGTTGTTGCTTTCTGTTTATTTATTTGTTCATTTGTTTTTCTTTCAATAGTCAGGTCCTTCTGTAGGGCTGCTGAAGTTTGCTGGGGGTTTGCTTCAGGCCCTATTCATCTGGTTTGCACCCATGCCTGGAGATGTCACTCAAGTAGGCTAGAGAACAGCAAAGAGGGGTACCTGTTCCTTCCTCTGGGATCTCTGGCCTTGAGGGGGCACCAATGTGATACCAGTAGGAATGTTTCTCTATAGGATGTCTGAGAACCCCTGTTGGTGGGACTCACCCAGTTGGGTGGCACAGGAAGCTGGACCCATTTAATGAGGCACTTTGGCTGTCCCTTGGTAGAGGTGGTGTGCTGCACTGGGGGGAAAGCCAGATTCCTCAGAGCTAGCAGGAGGAAAGACTAAGTCTGCTGGTCTGTGGAGACTATGGCCACCCATTCCCCTAGGTACTCAGTCCCAGGGAGATCAGAGTTCTGTTTATGAGCCGTTGACTAGAGTTGGAGTTTCTGCAGGGAGGCTCTGCAGCTGCAGTATTGGCTGCTGCCCCTCCACCAAGGAGCTCAGATGACTTACACAGCAGGCATCCACAGAAGTGGTGATGGCTGCCCCTCCCACCAGGAACTCAGCAGGCTTAGAGGCAAGTTCTAACCATGCTGCATGGCTCCATAGTGGGGACCCAAGGCCCTGATGAGCACTGGCTCCTGAGTGGGATCTTCCGATGCATGGGTTGCACAGTTCCATGGAAAAAGCAGTTTCCTAGGCTGGGTAGCATGCTCACTCACCATGACCCCTGGGTGGGGATGAGGGCTCCCTTGCCCCACATGGCTCTCAGGTGGGCTCCCATACCATATTGCTCTTCCCTCTTCTCCTTGGGTCACGCCGGCTGCCTAGTCAGTCCTAATGACAGAACCTGGATACCTTGGTTGCCAGTGCAGGATTCATACGCTGTTTTGGATCTTTTTGGTGGGAGCCTCCCATTGCTGCTGCTTCTAGTAGGCTATCTGCGTCCCTCCCCCTCTTTCTCTGTTTATTGGATGAATTGACCTATACTGAAACTCAGAAAGTATGCATGCCTCTTAGGAGGTATGTTATATAATTTTGTCATTGATTAGTTAACCAGCAGGCAGCACATACTCTTTATCACGAATTATTATATGTTAAACTATTTTGCAGCTACAGCACAAGGTAAACTCGTTGGAGTATCAGTAAAATATAAAACAATTCCCTGAAGCCAATTATCCTGGCCAAATATTTGCTCAGGATTTTTGCTTACCCATCAATAAGCTAAGCTTCAATTTTCAAAAAGAAAAAGAAAAGCCTGGAATAAAATTATATTTACAAAATGTAGAAGGCTCTAAGGATGAATGTATGGTAATTATTGTTATTCTGAAATGTTCTTTTAAATTATCTGAGTTTTACAGAAAGAAATTCAAATTGTAGAGCATAGGGATTGGTGAAACTGTATAAGGCAATGAATGCCTTTTTCTTAAAGTAAGTGCTGTTTTACTAACAACAATAAAAATTTTGATGTATTCACTAGAAAATCTATTAGTGCCTGTAAATGAGTATATTTCTATTATTTCTTTTATGCTCTAGGAATAAAACTTAAAATAAAACTTAAAATTATTATTACAGTAAAATCCCATCAGGAAGCACCTTGCCATAATAGTGGATTTGGATTATTTTTAGAGAAATAAAATGTTCTCTACAGTGGGGAATTTGGCTCATCTTTCTATAGCACATATTTCCTAGAATATTATAATGGTGCTAGTCTATAATTGTGGACATACAGCAAAATATGACTTTCTTTTCTCTTTTTAAGTTTCCAAAACACAGTGTGGAATATACGCTTTTACCTTGCCCAGCGTCTCCTTAAGAAACCCTCTTTTCCTTTCCCATTGTTAGTTCAATTGGTTTGACTGGAACTAACTATATTTCAGAAGTAAACCTATGTCACTGGAATTTTTTAATTCGATATATTATATTTTCAAATACAAATAACCTTGTCAGTTGAGTAAAAACTTGGCCCCTTTGTGAAAGTGATGAAAGAAGCATCTGAGTTTGCAATACAGAGTAATGTTGCTTTTCCTTTTTTGACTGGGAAACTACAGGGTTAATACGGCTTCACACAGAAGGGAGAAAATAATTCAGACAACTAAATTATATAATAATGAATGTGAGCCTGAAGTGTGCACCTCATGTATGTATGAGTTAGTTTCCTTAACTGTGCATAGAACGCTATAGAACACTACATATATATACATATATATATGTATTCGATATTTGATCTAGAACACTACATATATACATACATATATATACACATATATACATATATACACATATACATACATATATACACATATATACGTATATACACATATATATACATATATATGTGTGTGTGTGTGTGTGTATATATGTAATGTTCTAGATCAAAGAGCTAGGTAATTACCTAAGAGTCATCCTAGTCATATAATAATGTTGTAAATACTATTGGACAAATCAAGTCATTATGAGAATTTCACCAGGGAAGTATGATGTAGGAGAAAGGAGGAACTGGAAATAATTTTTGGTACAGCAAGGATTGGTGGAATATAACTTTTTAATTATAAGATTAATTATATGATATGCATTAAAATTGAGGTTTGGGGGCAATAAAATATGGTGGTAGCATTATAGTATAATGAAATATGACTGGCTGAGACTAAAATTAAGGCGCCATAAATATCCAGCCTGGAGATTCTATGTACACCAAGTAATTCGCAATTTCTTTAATCTCTCAATAATTAATAATTCCTTTCAACACTATATTTTTATTTACAGCAAACATAGTTTAGTCAGACAAATTAGGAAATTCATGAGTTCTGTTCATCTAGACTCCCAGAAGCTGCTTAACTTTGCCGGCACTTTGTCTCTCCCTCTTAATAATGGAGATAATTGAAGAGTACTCACTACTTATGTAGCATATTGAGTTCCTGTTGCTAAATAATATAGATCCATGGTTTTAAGATATGCCCATGCACACGATATTATCATTGTCAATTTAATGGCTTTTATAGTTTCACAAAATGTATCTTCATGACCACTTTGAAAGATTTATAACGTTTATTTTCATTTGGAAACTTCTGTCTGAGAATTAGCATGAATGGTATAGAAAAGCTAAGGGGCTGTTAGGCTTTTAAGGACAGCACTATAAATTGTAATTACTAGTTTAAATATGTATTTCTTCAAGTGAAATATAACTCATTTACAACCAATTTCTTGCTGCAAAATATGGTCTTTTTATAAGCAAAGAGTGGGGGTTTTCAACACCTGTTAGGAATGTATGTAAAATATATTAAATGAAACTCATGAGGGAAACAGCATGAGTTCCAAAAGCAAGTGATGTGATTTTTCAAGCAGCGCACTTGGAAAAATAATATATCTTTCATTATTTCATCTCGCTATGAGTCTAGTGATAGAGAACAGTAGAGAGGAGGTTGATAAATGGAGAAGGTTGATGAATTGAAACAAATTACCTGATTATTACATACAAAACATTTAATAAAAATGATATTTTAGAAATTATTTTGGTAAAATAGTTTGTTCTCAGCCAGTGATCAGAGCTTTATAAAGAGATAATCCCCTTTAGTATTTAATAACAAGATTTCAAAAATACAGTTATACTGGGAAAGCTACATCCTTTTACATGGTAAATTTAAGTTTTCTTATGAGATTGAATGAGGGAAATTGTGCACACATTATTTGCCCAATGCGTCAATAGATGTCTTTCAAATATTAGATGTTAATCTGGCCTCTCTGTTATGTTAGCCCACACCACATTTTTACCTACAAATTTATGAAATAACCTTTTTTCATTACTTTGGCTAGCATATTCTGCAAAGTCTTATTATTATAAAAACAAACATTTACAATTTTAGAAAAGTACAACTGAGATTGAAGGGATTGTTTTTCTACCTACATGTATAAATGTTAAAGCTAGTAAAGTTTTAATTGTATAACTTTATAAATAATCTAGAAAAAATGTGTATAGCATTCTATAATACTGCAAATTGCTTTTACATGAATAGTAAACTAGTTAATTACTATCAGTTTCTTAAATTCTATATACAGTTGTTATTGAAATATTTCATTATGTTTCTGTGAACACACCAAAGCACATGTTATCTAACATGAACATTTACTTTTGGGGTCTTTGTATGTGTTTGTTACTACTGTTTGTCTAGAAGATTATCTGACTTCTCTTCTCTTTCCTAATCTCTTCTTATGTCTCCAATCAAGCTCAAGAACATTCAGAAAAGATGACAGGAGAAAAATAGCACCAAAATCACCATCTCAAGGACTCACTGAATATTCCAAAGGGGAAAAAATAGCAAACTTCTCTAGAATCAAAATTACAACATGGTGAAACTCAATGTTTCATACAAGAATTTCTTCCAGACATACAAATGGTGTCATATTGAAATAATTTTTCAATTGCAAACACATACTTCTCATCTTTGTAAAAGCATTTCAGTGTTATGTGAAATATTAATAGAAAATCCCTTTAAAACCTCTAAAATTTGTTGGCAAACATTTTGATGGTATGTAGGTTAGTGGTGAAGGTATTTTATGGTAACTCTGCATCCTCCAATAGAAGCCACTTTTGCTTCAATGAAAGATCATCATTCTGATACTGCAGGAAATGGAAGTTACAACAAATGAGTCATAACTATGAGTAGCTGGTCTTTACTCTGGCTTCTCAATAGGGGTTTGAAATAATTCAGGAATCCATAAGTGCTATTCTAAATCAAAGTTGGAGTATTCTAACCTAGCACAGTGAGGTTTAACGTGTAATTTGTAATACAGAAAATACAAGCAATCCTACTCTAGGAGATACTTTATCCTTAAGAAGCAATTTTTTTTTTAGAAAAATAGAAGAAAAATTATGTTCAGAAAAAGCAATAGCACCTGCAAGTGACAGGGATTGTCCCTGAATATTTTTTTCCTCTCATAGCACAAACAAGTCTCTGTAGGAAAGATCCTAAATCAGGAACTAAACCTCAGCTAAATGAGAAAATTTGAATTTCTCCCAAATTGTCTAGCAAAATAACTCCGAAAATTGACTATACATGGACACTTACCTAAAGTAGAGGCTGTGTTAAACAGAAAACCAATGTAACAAATATTTTAAATCACATATAAAAAGTAAAGTTTTAAATTTTCTATCCCATAAAATAGATATTTTATGTGGACATTTCACCATGATAGCCTCAGAAATGGGTTGGAGTGAAGGTCATTGAAACATTCTTCTGCCAACTATAGATACAGCCAAACTGAAATCTCCTTAGGAAAGCCCTTGCCCTCATTACAGATCTGGAGCAGGGTTGCACCTGTCAGGTGATAGTTTAGAAACAGATAAGAAGGAGATACCTTGTCAAGTATCTCTAAGCTAACTATGTCCCTCCATCAAATGTAAATTCTTCAGCTTCTCACTATTGTGTGTACAACAACGCGGTGAATTAGTAAAGTTCTTGGCAACAGACAGCCGGCCTGCAAAGAGCCACTCTGGCTAAGGATGAGATATAGTAAGTTGTTTGATGAACATCCTTAGCTGCAGATTGGATGGAGGATGGGTGAGATTCAGAGCTGTTTGCCAGGCTAAAAGTGCCAAATTGGAGGATGTATCTGAGTGGGGGAGTTGGAAGTGCAAGTACTCCTCTCTACCCTGGTTACAGACCGTATCCCAATTTTTACCAGCTGGTGTGCAGTAGCATATTATAGTAACTTAAGCAAGTACCATATGCATAAAATAATCACTCCACTCAAACAGTGAGAATTCAGAAGTCGCAGGATGAGCTGTAGTCTGAACAAGCAAAGGAAAGAGGCTGTTAACCAGATTTCAGAAGATGGTTCTGACATGATTTGGCTGTGTCCCCACCCAAATCTCACCTTGAATTGTAATAATTCCCACATGTCAAGAATGGGGCCAGGTGGAGATAATAGAATTATGGGGGTGACTTCCCCATAGTGTTCTCCTGGAAGTGAATATGTCTCATGAGATCTGATGGTTTTATAAATGGGAGTTCCTGTGCACAAGCACTCTTGCCTGTCACCATGTAAGACATATTTTTGCTACCCCTTTGGTCTCCACTATGATTCTGAGCCCTCCCCAGCCATGTAGAACTGTGAGTCCATTAAACCTCTTTCTTTTATAAATTACACAGCCTTGGGTATGTCTTTATTAGCAGCATGAGAACAGACTAATATAATCCATTGTTGAAGCCCACTAATACAGATTGAAGGAGCCAAGGTGACACAGTAGGGAGGGCTCAGGAAAATAAAATTCTTCAGTTTCACTCTTCCCTCTTTTAACTTTTCTTTGGCTCTCAACTGGAAACCCAGATAGGAATTGGAGAGCTGGTGATTCCTTTTATGTAATTCATACAGATAAGTCTCCAAGACCGAGGGTTGTGCAAGCAAAAGGGAGATTGGGTCAGAGGGGGTTACATGGTGTACATACAGCACCTAAAGGAAGCTCAGATCCCCTGAAACTGTCACAAACCTGAAAAAATACTAAGATGTATTTGTCAACTTTGTAAGGCTTTATGTTTGTTCTTAACTTTTGGCTTTGTTTAATACTATCATCAGCAGAAATATAAGCTCTGAGCTTGTCAAGATTCTTTTTTTTATTTTTTATTTTATTTTTTTATTATACTTTAAGTTTTAGGGTACATGTGCACAACGTGCAGATTTGTTACATATGTATACATGTGCCATGTTGGTGTGCTGCACCCATTAACTCTTCATTTAACATTAGTTATATCTCCTAATGCTATCCCTCCCCCCACCCCACCCCACAACAGGCCCCGGTGTGTGTCCCCTTCCTGTGTCCATGTGTTCTCATTGTTCAGTTCCCACCTATGAGTGAGAACATGCGGTGTTTGGTTTTTTGTCCTTGCGATAGTTTGCTGAGAATGATGGTTTCCAGCTTCATCCATGTCCCTACATGAACTCATCATTTTTTATGGCTGCATAGTAATCCATGGAGTATATGTGCCACATTTTCTTAATCCAGTCTATCATTGTTGGACATTTGGGTTGGTTCCAAGTCTGTACTATTGTGAATAGTGCCACAATAAACATACGTGTGCATGTGTCTTTATAGCAGCATGATTTATAATCCTTTGGGTATATACCCAGTATTGGGATGGCTGGGTCAAATGATATGAGCTTGTCAAGATTCTTATAGGAAAAAATACTTCTGTTTAAAAGACAATATATAGAATGTAAAATTTTAATACTTGTTATCCTAGATTTGGAAAGATCTTGGGATAATGAGAGAGAAAATTAGGCAAAGAGTGTCCTCTACTGAATGTGTTTGATGCTAGTTATATTCCTAGACTCCATTAGCCTATGAAAGATTAAACTGTTAGATAGATAGATAGATAGATAGATAGATAGATAGATAGATAGATGATATATTTTATACCTCTGTGGTTAAGGTCACAGGAGGTCTTCAACATCATTCAGATAAGCAGTGAGGGGACATGGAAACAGTTTAGTCCTGCAAACATGCCGTTTGTTCAGACCTGGAGACATTTGCTTTCACTTAAAAGTGAGTAAATAACCACAAAAGGCAGCATAGAACCTATGAAAAAGTTAAATAAATAAAATGGATAATAATTATACTATATAAAACCTATAGGAAGAGAAATGATAAAAATATACTACATTCTCAGGATCAAAGGGTATGCTTTTGACATCATCTTAACCTTTTAAGGAAATGAAAGTGATGAAAGAGGCCATGTGAAAGTCAGAGACTGAAATAAGAGAAGTTATGAAAACAAGGTAAAAAGTTAGAGCTTTAGAGGAGTGAAAGTGTTAGGAATTGACAAAAACAAAATTTACTGTGCAGCAAAATAAGAAAGTTTTAGAATAAATGGAAAAATTACTGATGAAATAATTTGCATAGTTATTAAACACCTGCTATGTTCTTGTCATTATATTAGCTAATGGAAAGAAAGAGACAAGAGGAAAAGGGAGGTAGGGAGGGAGGAAAAAAGAGTAATTGAAAAAAATTCTATTATAATGCCTTCATTCTTGGTGAAAATGCATTTAAAAGCATTTGAGAATAAACAAAATGACTACAAATTGTGATATGCTACCAAATGAGAAATTGAAGGAGTAAGGTGGAAAAAAGGAGGGGGCCCTCATTTGATGGGATGGCCAGCAAGGTTCTTTCTGCAAAGAAGACATTTAGCGGAGCCTAAAATATGAACCCAAACCCACATACATGCAAAATATGGGTAAGAAGACAATGTGGGGAAATATTCTGAAGAAATATACTGGGGCATAAAGGAAGCCCAAAAACATATTAACTGCCATTTATCAACTGAATAAAATATACCAGGTACTATGGTAAACATTCAAATATATTTATAAACTAAATTTAAATACATATTACTTTTACCACAACTCTATGAAGTGTGAATTGAAGTATATGTGGATACTAATGTTGTGAGACGTTAAGTGATTTGTTCAAGGCAGTTCAGTTATTAAACGGCTGATTTAAAAGCAGGTCAACTTGACCCCAAAGCCCATGGTGAACAGAATCTGAAGAGTACCATTTTTGGATAATTATAATATCTGAACAAAATAATACAATTAATCAAACATAAGATTCTGTTGAAAATTTAAAAAAGACAAAATTAAGGAAAGGCTTTCTTCTGAAATAACAAAGAGGTCGCCATGTATCAGATAAAATTAATGAAAAGGATAAAGCACAGAGATAACCCAGATAAATTATAATTCTCAACTGTGAAGAAAGAAAAAGAGTTATTTAAATAATGTTTATAATTCAGAGAAAAACAATTATGCTTAATCATAGAAATCCTTCCAGGCACCAGCCTCCTCCAAGATACTTTGGTATCTTCTACACCAGCAGGACATGAAGTCATAACCCATTTTCCCTGGTGGAATGTGAGATTTGTTTATTAGTTTGTTGATTTTTATCTTAGTTTGTTTTACATAATTGTCTATGCCTGAGTGAAAATTTGATTCAAAAGATGCAATGTCCAAGGACGGTAATTCTCAGTGAATTAAAAAATTTTAATACAAAACAAAATGAAATTATAGAAAATTAGAAACTCACGTGTTTTCCATATTGAAGATCTCTGTAATCATAGCGCTAAAAGAGAAAATATAAAGAAAATAATATATTTGTGAAGATAAGATTTTAAAACTTATTTGCTGTAACAGACCACATAAACACTATTGAAAGAAAAGTTTTTATCTGAGGATATTTACATGCTACATATTTATTAGACTATAGTTAAACATTTTAACAATAAGAATTATTTTTTGAAATTTTAATTTTAGATTTGAGGGTACATGTGCAGGTTTGTTACAGTTTGTGATACTGAGATTTTGGCTTTTATTGATGAACCTAGTACACAATAGAGTTTTTCAGCCATTGCTCTCCCCACTCCCTCCCTACTTTTGAAGTCCCCAGTGTCCATTGATGCCATTTTTATATACATATCTATCCAGGGTTTAGCTCCCTCTCATAAGAGAGAACATGTGATATTTGATTTTCTGTGTCTTCATTAATTCATTTTGGGTAACGGTTTCCATCTCCATTCATGTGGCTGAAAAGGACATGATTTCATTATTTTTTATGGCTACATAGTATTTCATAGTGTGTATGTATGAAATTTTCTTTATCCAGTTAACTCTTAATGGGCACCTAGGTTGCTCCCATGCCTTTGCTATTGTGAATAGTGCTGCAATAAACATATGAGGGTAGGTAACTTATTGGGAGAATGATTAATTTTCTTTTGGTACATACCTAGTAATGGGATTCCTGAGTCAAATGATAGTTCTATTTTTAGTCCTTTGAAAAACTTCTAAACTGCCTTCCACAAGGACTGAACTAATAAACTTTACCACCAACAGTGACTAAGCATTCACTTTCTCTGCAGGCTTGCCAATTTCTGTTGTTTTTGAGTTTAATAACAGCCATTCTGATTGGTGTGAGATGGTATCTCATAGTGATTTTGTGTCACACTTCTCTGATGATTAGTGATGTTGGGCACTTTTTCATGTTTGTTACCCGCTTGTATGTCTTTTGTTGTTGTTGTTGAGAAGAGTCTGTTCATGTCCTTTGCCTGCTTTTTAATGGAGTTATTTGGTTTTTGCTTGTTCAATTGTTCATGTTTCTTACAGATTCTAGATAATTAGTCCTGTGTTGGATGCATAGTTTTCAAGTAGTTTCTCCCATTCTGTAAGTTGTCAGTATGCCCTGCTGATCGATTCTTTTGCTGTTAAGAAGCTCTTTACAGACAGAGAACCAAATCATGAGTGAACTTCCATTCACAGTTGCTTCAAAGAGAATAAAATACCTAGGAATCCAACTTACAAGGGATGTAAAGGACCTCTTCAAGAAGAACTACAAACCACTGCTCAATGAAATAAAAGAGGACACAAACAAATGGAAGAACATTCCATGCTCATGGATAGGAAGAATCAATATCATGAAAATGGCCATACTGCCCAAGGTAATGTATAGATTCAATGCCATCCCCATCAAGCTACCAATGACTTTCTTCACAGAATTGGAAAAAACTACTTTAAAGTTCATATGGAACCTAAAAAGAGCCTGCATTGCCAAGACAATCCTAAGGCAAAAGAACAAAGCTGGAGGCATCATGCTACCTGACTTCAGACTATACTACAAGGCTACAGTAACCAAAACAGCACGGTACTGGTACCAAAACAGAGATATAGACCAATGGAACAGAACAGAGGACTCAGAAATAATACCACACATCTACAAACATCTAATCTTTAACAAACCTGACAAAAACAAGAAATGGGGAAAGGATTCCCTATTTAATAAATGGTGCTGGGAAAACTGTCTGGCCCTATGTAGAAAGTTGAAACTGGATCCCTTCCTTACACCTTACACAAAAATTAATTCTAGATGGATTAAAGACTCAAATGTTAGACCATAAAAACCCTAGAAGAAAACCTAGGCACTACCATTCAGGACATAGGCATGGGCAAGGACTTCATGTCTAAAACACCAAAAGCAATGGCAACAAAAGCCAAAATTGACAAATGGGATCTACTTAAACTAAAGAGCTTCTGCACAGCAAAAGAAACTACCATCAGAGTGAACAGGCCACCTACAGAATGGAAGAAAATTTTTGGAATCTACTCATCTGACAAAGGGCTAATATCCAGAATCTACAAAGAACTCAAACAAATTTACAAGAAAAAACCAACCCCATCAACAAGTGGGCAAAGGATATGAACAGACACTTCTCAAAAGAAGACATTTATGCAGCCAACAGACACATGAAAAAATGCTTATTATCACTGGCCATCAGAGAAATGCAAATCAAAATCACAATGAGATACCATCTCACACCAGTTAGAATGGCGATCATTAAAAAGTCGGGAAACAGCAGGTGCTGGAGAGGATGTGGAGAAATAGGAACAGTTTTACACTGTTGGTGGGACTGTAAACTAGTTCAACCATTGTGGAAGACAGTGTGGCGATTCCTCAAGGATCTAGAAGTAGAAATACCATTTGACCCAGCTATCCCGTTACTGGGTATATACCCAAAAGATTATAAAACATGCTGCTATAAAGGCACATGCACATGTATGTTTATTGCAGCACTATTCACAATAGCAAAGACTTGGAACTAACCCAAATGTCCATCAGTGATATACTGGATTAAGAAAACGTGGCACATATACACCACAGAATACTATGCAGCCATAAAAAAGGATGAGTTCATGTCCTTTGTAGGGACATGGATGAAACTGGAAACCATCATTCTCAGCAACCTATTGCAAGGACAAAAAACCAAACACCGCATGTTCTCACTCATAGGTGGGAAATGAACAATGAGAACACTTGGACACAGGAAGGGGAACATCATACACCAGAGCCTGTTGTGTGGTGGGGGGAGGGGGGAGGGAAACCATTAGGAGATACACTTAATGTAAATGACAAGTTAATGGGTGCAGCACACCAACATGGCACATGTATACATATGTAACAAACCTGCATATTGTGCACATGTACCCTAAAACTTATAATTAAAAAAAAAAATGAAGAAGCTCTTTAGTGGCCGGGCGTGGTGGCTCACGCCTTTAATCCCAGCACTTTGGGAGGCCGAGGCGGGAAGATCATGAGGTCAGGAGATGGAGATCATCCTGGCTAACACGGTGAAACCCCCCGTCTTTACTAAAAATACGAAAAAAAAAAATTAGCTGGGTGTGGTGGTGGGCGCCTGTACGCCTGTAGTCCCAGCTACTCGGGAGGCTGAGGCAGGGGAATGGTGTGGACCCGGGAGGTGGAGCTTGCAGTGAGCCTAGATTGCGCCACTGCACTCCAGCCTGGGCAACAGAGCAAGATTCTGTCCCACCCACCGCCAAAAAAAAAAAAAAAAAAAAAAAGAAGCTCTTGAGTTTAATTCGGTCCCAAGTGTACATTTTTCTTTTCACTGCAATTGCTTTGGGAGACTTCATTGTATTATATTTGTTGAGGCCAATATTCAGAAAAATTATTTCCTAGGTTTTGTTCTAGGATTTTTAGTAATTTGAGGTCTTATATTTAAGTATTTAATCTATCTTGAGATAATTTTGGATATAGTGAGAAGTAGGTATCCAGTTTCATTCTTCTGCATATGGTTAGTCAGTTTTCCCAGCACTGTTTATTGAATAGGGATCCCTTTTCCATTGCTTGCTTTTGTTGACTTTGTCAAAGAACCGTTGGTTGTAGGTGTGTGCATTTATTTCTGAGATCTTTATTCTGTTTCATAGGTCTATGTGTCTATTTTTCTGCCAGTGTCATTCTATTTTGGTAACCCTCTAGTATACTTTGAATAGGGGCAATGTGATGCTTCTGGCTTTGTTCTTTTTGCTTAGGATTGTTTTGTCTATTCAGTTTTTTTTTTTTTCATTTTGTTCCATATGAATTTTAGGAATTTTTTTTTAATTCTGTGAAAATTGCATTGGGCGGTATGAACATTTTAAAGATATCTGTTCTTCCATTCCATAATCATGGAATATTCTTCCATTTGTTTGTGCCATCTATTATTTCTTTCAGCAGTGTTTTCAAGTTCTCCCTGAAGAGAACTTTCAAGTTCTTGGTAGTATGCATTCCTAGGTATTTTAGTTTGTGTGTGTGGCTATTGTAAATGGGATTCCATTCTTGATCTGGCTCTTGGGTTGACTGTTATTCCTACATAGAAGTGTTGCTGAATTTTGTCCATTAATTTTGTATCCTGAAGTTTTACTGAAGTTATTTATGGAGCCTTTTGATGCGGCTGTCAGTAATTTCCAAGTATAGAATCATACTGTCAGCACAGGGAGATAATTTGACTTCCACTTTTCCTATTTGAATGCCTTCTATTCCTTTCTCTTGTCTGATTTCTCTGGCTAGGACTTCTCTAGTACTATATTGGATGAGAGTGGTAAATGGTGAGTGATAAATGATGAGACATGTAAATGGGCATCCTTGCCTTGTTTCAGTTCTTAGCAGGAATGCTTCCAGCATTTGCACATTCAGTATAATGCTGGCTGTTGGTTTGTTATAGACTACTCTTATTATTTTGAGGTATGCTCATTTGACACCTAGTTTTTGAGGGCGTTTGTCAAGAAAGGATGTTAGATTTTATAAAATACTTTTTCTGTGTCTATTGAGATGATATTTCTTAAAAAAATTTGTTTATTTGATGAATCACATTTATTGATTTGTGTATGTTGAACCAACCTTGCATCCCAAGAATAAAGCCTACTTAATCATGGTGAATCAAATTTTTGATGTGCTACCTGATATAGTTTTTTACTATTTTGTTGAGAATTTTTCTGACTTTGGTCTTTAGAGATATTGGTCTACAGTTGGTTTTTTTTTTTTTTTGGTTTTGTTAATTGTGTCTTTGCTAGGTTTTGGTATCAGGATGATACTCTTTTCATAGAATGAGTTAGACAGAAGTCCCTTTTCCTTGACTTTTTATAATACTTTCCATAGGATTGGTAGCAGCTCTTCTTTCTACATCTGGTAGAATTTGGATGTGGATCCGCCTAGTCTAAGGGTTTTTTGGTTGGTAGTTTTTCTAATACAGATTCAATTTCAGAACTTGTTATTGGTCTATTCAGGGTTTCAATTTGTCCTGGATCAATCTTGAGAGGTTGTGTGTTTCCCGGAATTTATCTACTTGCTCTAGATTGTTTATGTGCATGGAGATGCTCATAATAGGATCTAAGGATCTTTTGTATTCCCGTGGGATCCCTTGTAATGACTCCTTTGTCATTTTTGATTTTGCTTATTTGGATCTTCTCTCTTATTTTCTTTGTTAATCTATCTAGTGGTTTATCAATCTTGTTACCCTTCCAGAGCACCAACTTTTAGTTTCATTGATCCTTTGGATGGTTTTATGGGGTCTCAATTTTGTTTACTTCTGCTCTGATTTTAGTTACTTCTTTTTTCTGCTAGTTTGAGATAGTTTGCTCCTGTTTTTCATAGTTCTTTTAAGTGTGATATTAGATTAATGTGAGACCTCTCTATTGTCTTAATGTAGGTGTTTAGCAGTATAACATTTTATCTTAACACTGATTTAGCTGCATTTCGGGGGTTTTAGAATGTAGTGGCTTTATTTTCATTTGTTTAAAATGATTTCTGCTTTAATGTGGTTGTTTACTCAAAGGTCATTTAGGAGCAAGTTGTTTATATTTCATGTAATTGTGTGGTTTGATGTTAATTTCAATTTTTATTCCACTGTGGTCTGAGGATATACTTGTTATGATTTCAATTTTTTAAAATTTATTGAGACTTGCTGTATGACCAACCATGTGATTAATCTTAGAGTATGTTCCATGTGCGGATGGAAAGGACATATATTCTGTGGTTTTTGGGCGGAATGTTCTGTAGAAGTCGATTATGTCCAATTGGTCAAATGTCAAATTGAAGTCCAGAATGTATTACTTGTTAGCTTTTTTTTTTTCATTCGTAATCTGTCTAATGCTATAAGTGGGGTGTTGAAATACCCCTCGGTTATTGTGTGGCTAAGTCTTTTCCTAGGTCTAGAAGTAATTGTTTTATGAATCTGGGTGCTCCAATGTCATAGGGATACTATGAATTTAGGATAGCTAAATCTTGTTGAATTAAACCCTTTATCACTTTGTAATGCCCTTCTTTGTCCATTTTTACTGTTGTTGGCTTAGAGTCTGTCTTATCTCACACAAGAATAGTGACTCCTGCTCTTTTTTCTTTACCGTTTGCATGATAAATCTTTCTCCAGCCCTTTATTTTGAGCCAAAAGATTTCATTACATGTTAGATGGTTTTTTTGAAGAAAGCGGAAGGATGGGTCTTGTTTTTTAATCCAATTTGCCACTCTGTGTCTTTTATGTGTAGGGCTTTGACCATTTACATTCAAGGTTAATATTGATATGTATGGTTTTGTTACTGTCATGGTGTTGTTACCTGGTCCCTTTGTATTCTTGATTGTATGGTTGCTCTGTAGGGTCTGTAGGCTATATACTTACGTGTGTTTTTGTGGTAGCAGGTATTGTTCTTTTGTTCCATGTTTAGAACTCCCTTAAGCATCTCTTGTAAGGCTGGGTTAGTGGCAGAGAATTTCCTTAGTGCTTGCTTATCGGGGAAAGATTTAATTTCTCCTTCACTTATGAAGCTTAGTTTGGCACATTATGAAATTTTTGGCTGGAATTTCTTTTCTTTGATGATGCTAAGAATAGAGCCCTTATCTCTTCTGGTTTATAAGGTTTCTACTAAAAAGCCCATTGTTAGTCTGATGGGATCCTCTAACAGGTGATATGACCATATTTTTTCCAGCTTCCTTTAAGATTTTTTCTTCTGCATTGACCTTGGAAAGTCTGATGACTATATGGCTTGGGTATTATCTTATATCATATCTTACAGGAGTTCTTTCAATTTTTTGAATCAGTGTGTTGACCTCTCAGCAAGATTGGGGAAATTATCATGGATTATATACTCAAATATATTTTCCAATTTGTTTACTCTTTTTTCTTCTCTCTGAGCAATGCGTTATTTATAGATTTGGTTACTTTACATAATCCCATATTTCTCGAAGGATTTTTTTCATTTAAATTTTTTTCTTTGTTTTTATCTGATTTGGTTGATTCAAAGGAACAGTCTTCAGATTTTGAAATTCTTTTCTCTTCTTGGTCCAGTCTGTTGTTAAGGCTTCTAGATGCATTTTGAAGTTCCTGTAGCAAATTTTTCAATTCCAGAAATTCAGTTTGGTTCTTTCTTAATATAGCTATGTCATCTTTCAAATCTTAGATTGTTTTTCTGGCTTCATTGGATTGGATTTTAATTTTTTCTTGGCTCTCATTGAATTTCTTTGCCATCCAGATTCTGAATTGCATGCCTGTCATTCCAGACATTTCAAGCTGGTTAGAATCCATTGCTAGGGAGCTAGTTGATTCTTTGGTGATAAGGAAGTGCTCTGGCTTTTTGAATTGCTGTAGTTCTTGTGCTGATTCCTTCCTATCTGAGGGAGCTGGTGCTACTTTTTCTTTTGAATTTGCTATCATTTGGATTGGGCTTTTTGATTTTATATTATTTTTCCCCATGAGGATTTGACTGTGGCTTATGCTATGTATTGTCAATTGGCTTCATATCTAGGTGCTTTCAGAGGACCAAGGCCCTGTAGGGGTTCCTTGGTTGTAGATAAGTTCCTGAAGTGGGTTTCACAGACACCATATGTTGAAACAGTGTATTTTTATTGGGTAGTGTAATTTAGGTTGCAGTCCATTAATGGTGCTTAAGGGTAAGAGCCAGCAGATATGCTCCTACTCAGCTGCAGTTCACCCTTTTGTATTTTAGTGTCTCTTGCAGCAGTCCTCTAGAGAGGAAAAGCAGGGGCAAGAGACGACTCCCTCTCTAAGTCCATTTCTGGGCCTTGATGGTTTCCACTTCAATCATTGGTGCCATGCTCATGTTTCCTTGGCCCCAAGGGGTAATTTGGCAGCCTGTGCTCCCCTCCCCTTAGGGTCAGTCTGTGTCAAGAGTTCCATGACTCCCTGGCAACTTACCAGTCCCCTGTGCTTGCTGGAATCAGAGCAAGTTATGGGGTATGTCTGTGGCTGCTCTGGTGATGTGGTAGGTCAAGGGCAGAGGATCCCTGGACAGGGCAGTGGCACTTCAGGTATGCAACTGGGATGTTTTCCACAGGTCTGGGACTTTTAGCACAGCAGATGGCTCTGAGACCCATCCAGCTCATAGTCCCCCAACCTGGTGGGTCTTTCTCCATCTGCCCTGTGAGAAGGCCTGATCTGCTAGGCTTGTCCCACACCTTCTGTGCCCAGATTGTTGAGCTATTCCAGATCTTCTAACCCAGGGGCCTTCCTGGTAAAGAAGCCGTGGCTGGCTATTAGGTTACACCCTTCCCAGTCCAGTTTGCAAAGGAAGGGATGCCCGGCTCCTGTGCCAGCACATGAACCCATGCCACCCTCTTCTCTGTGCTCTGAGTATGGGGCTATTCCCCAGCTTCAGCTTAGGCCACAGGTCTCAGCTTGACTCTCCTGGGTGGTGTTCTCAAGTCCTGGGGAATTGGGATTGGGACCAAGCCCATGGGTTTGTCCACTGGCTCCTTGTGGTCAAGCACTGACTGTGCTGGTGTATAAACTTCTCCCAGGCTACCAGCAACATACTCAGGCAGGGCAGTGGAGGCTGTGCTGTGGGCATCCTCTTTCAGGAGTGGCCAGGAAGGCAGTCATGGGAGGAGCCAGCAGACAAGGGGGTAATTGGATCAAATGCACCTTTGTCCTCCGGCTGTGGTAGCTCTGCTGTCTCTCAGCCCTGCAGACAGCAGGAGCTACAACCACTCAGTGCAAGATGGAGAGCCTTATGTGATAGGCACTTACAGCTGCATTTCCCTGCAGCTTCACAGCACAGCAAAACCTTCCGGGCTCTGTGCAGTTTCAAGCTGTGTCCCTGACTGTTCCCCAGGCAGCTTCCCCTGCCACTTCAAAGGTCTTTGGAGGTCATAGGAACTCCTGCAGATGGGATCCCAGAGGTCTGCAGTGGAAATGTGGTACCCAGGGGTTCCTTCACTCACCCTTTCTTTAAGTCTCGTTTGGGTCCGTGGGCCAGTCCTGATGCCCAGTGACTTTAAGCAGCCTTCTCAGCTTCCTCTCTTTTCAACCGTGGTGTCTGTGTTGCCTCTGTATCAACATTCAGTAATTTCCCTCAAAAGATCTGTTCAAAGCCTGATAGTTTACTCAATATTTTGGTTCCTCTTCATTGAAAAGGCATTTCTCAGCTGTCTCTAGTCAGCCATCTTGCCAAAACTCCTCCCAGAACTCTTGAATAGTACATAAGAACTAATTGCATATTTATTTGCTAAATAAATTTAAATTTAAATTTATTTGCTAAATAAATATGCAATTTACAGAGAAACACATATTTTAAATGCTACTAAATTAAGTACCACAACTGATAAAATATGTACTTTGACAACAAAACTTCTTTTCCTTTAATATATTGACAAATATTATAACAAATCATGCTTAAAACCAGTACTGTTCATTTTTAAACAGTATTTTTAAAATCACAATTTTATGTCTAAAATCATGCTTAAAAAGCATGTTTAAAGTGTCAACGATGTGAGGAAATACATACTCTCAATTAGTGCAGGAAAGAGTAAATTATTTCACATTTTCAGAGTTTCGAGGCAATTTCTATTACACGTTTTAAAAACATATATATGAACGTGCATACACACACACATACATTTGTTTATAAAACATTTAAACTTTGAGCAACATCGCCTAATAAAATTTTAGATATATTATTAGATGGGTTCATAATTATCTTTACTCATGTTTTAAATGTAGGTTTTATAATGCAAGTTAGATGAATCCCACACTTCAGGAAAAGACTGCTATTGAATAGCAAGTTTGTTATTCACATTTGTAAGAGGAGAGGGCATGCTACATCACATAGAGCCACAAGGGAAGCACCAGCATTGGTCAGGTGGAAGAAGGGGTGAGGGGAATATGTGGGTTAGAAGATTCAGTGTTGTTAATAAGTCAATTCTTTCCAACTTAATACATTCAATACTATCTCATTCAAAATCTGAGCAAGCTATTTTCTTAATATTCACAAATATAATCTAAAATTCATGTGGAAAAACAAAAAATCTAGAATACTTAAGAAAATACTGAAGAACAAAGATGGAGCTCTAATATTACCCAATTTCAAGACTTACTATAAAGCTGTAGTAAGCAAGACAGTGTGATATTCCTGAAAAATGACACAGACATGTAGATTGATAGAACAGAGAGTCTAAAAACAGACCCACATGTATCAAATCAAATGGTTTTTGATAAAGGGAAAAAGACAATTCCATGGGGACATGGGGAATGATGGTGTTTAAACATATGGTGCTAAAAAATTTGGACATCCATGTGGATAAAACCATGACACAGAACTTACCCTTTATAAAAATTAACTGGGCTAGGCGTGGTGGCTCAAGCCTGTAATCCCAGCACTTTGGGATGCTGAGGGAGGCAGATCACGAGGTCAGGAGATCGAGACCATCCTGGCTAACACGGTGAAACTCCATCTCTACTAAAAATACAAAAAATTAGATGGGCATGGTGAGACTCACCTGTACTCCCAGCTACTTGGGAGGCTGAGGCAGGAGAATCACTTGAACCTGCGAAGCAGAAGTTGCAGTGAGCTGAGATGGCTCCCCTGAACCCCAGCCTGGATGACAGAGTGAGATTCCATCTCAAAAAAAAAGAAAAAAAAATTAAGTTTAATAAGGAAACATAAATCCAAGTCAGAAAATTATAAATCTTTTATAAGAAAACTCAGAAAAATTTTAGGTGATACTGAGTTTGATGAGGAGGTTTTAGATAAAGCTATAAAAGAATGATCAATAAAAGAAGAAATGATGTTGGACTTTATGAAAATTTAAAATTTCTTCTTTGTGAAAGATTCTCCCAATAGAATCAAAAGACAAGCCACAAACTGGAAGAAAATACTTGCAAAAAACACATTTGATAAATCCTTGTATCTAAAATATGTACACAAAATATAAAGAAAACAGCCAAATTTTAAAAACAGGGAAAATACCTGAACGGATATCTCACCAAAACAATATAATATGGCAAATATAAATATGAAAAGATGCTGTACATAATTTGTTGTTAGAGAATTGCAAATTAAAACACCAACGAGCTAGCATTATATACCTATTAGAATGGCAAAAATTCCAAATACTGACAATTCAGTTACTGGTGAGATTGCAGGATAACATAAACATTTATTTGATGTAGGTGGGAAGGCAAAATGAGATAGCCTTTTGAGATTATGGCAGTTTTGTTCCAAAGTAAATGTAGTTTTACATTACAGTACAACATTTACCCTCCTAGGTTTTTAACCAACTGATTAAAAATTTTATGTCTACACAAAAATTGCAAAGGAATCTTTGTAGTAACTTTATTTACAATCACCAAAACTGGAAGCAAGCAAGGTATCTTTCAAGGTAAATGGAGCAACAAACTGTGGTACAACCATACAATGGGATATTACTCAGTGATAAAAAGAAATGAGATGTGAAGCCATGAAAAGAGATGAATGAATCTTAAATGTACATTTCCAAGTGAAAAAAATGTTAGTCTGAAAAGGCTACACACTGTATGATTCCAACTATATGAAATTCTAAAAATGTTAAAACTATAGTAGTGATAAGAATCTCATGATTTCTGGGAGCTCCTGGGGTACAGGGGAAAGGGTCAGATAGGTGTAACAAAGGTGAATTTTAGGACAGTGATACTGTTTAGGGTGATAGCTAATATATGACTCAATGCACTTGTCAAGTCCTATATAAACTTATATCATAAAAATTGATCCTTAATGCACATAAGTTCTTAAACACATTATTAAGGAGGCTATGGAATTTCAGGATGTAATGAAATATGTGACCAAGCACTGTAATGTATGAAACAACCTCACTGAAGGGCATGGGGAAAATTGGTTGTGACCTAAGTAACTTCAGAAACGAGCAGAGTGTATAAGGCTAGAGTAAGACTAACTGTATATATGCACTGTATTGATAAAGTTATTTTACATAGAGGATACAGGGTAACAATTCTGTTACCTTTATACATATGCAATTGAACTGAACTATTAAGTATGGTTGACCATTGAACAACAGGGTTGAACTGTGAAGGAACTCTTACATGTAGATTTTTTAAAATAAAAGTTACGCCAAGTGTAACTCTTCTGCCTCCCTTCCACCTTTTCCACTTCTGCCCCTGCCACCCCTGAGACAGCAAGAACAACTTCTTCTCCTTTAGTCTTTATTGTAAGAGTAATGTATGTAATGGATATAGCATACAAAATATGTGTTAATCCACTGCTATCCATAAGGCTTCCAAAACAGTAGGTTATCAGTAGTTAAGATTTGGGGGAGTCAAAAGTTGAATGTGGATTTTCAACTGCATGGGTTTTTTCAGAATTCCTAACCCCCACATTATTCAAGGGTCAACTGTAGATGGTTATGTATAAAAACTTTAGAGATATGTGCATACACATAGGTTAGTGTATATACATAGACTTCATCTGAAAGGGTCTAGAAGCAATGGCACCCCAGTAACGATGTGCACAACTAGTTCCCAGATCTCGATTTATAACAGTATTCTCTAATTAAAGAAACCTAGGCTCCTAGGAGAAATGACTGATTAGGGGACTGGGGTAGAAATATATAAGATGAGCCTGGAGTACCTTCTGGTGCCAGAAAGTGAAAAAGTTCTAAAATAAACATAACACTCACATAAGAGCCAACTGTAAGACTCTCAGTAATTAAATCTGCAAACATTTCAACAATAAGGTAGATATAGTAATATTGTTTTATTGCCCAAAGTGCAAAATAAGTATTCATGATTCTATTCTGATATAAAAATGATTGTATAAATAAATAAATGAATAAAAATACACACATCTCCTATGCAAAATAATTCCAAATAACTTATGTAGATGTCCCACCCTCAAGGAAGTAGAGCATCACTTCTCACTCCTTAAGTAACCTAGGCAAAATGACTTTCTTCCAAAGGGTAAAGTGTGGGAGTATGAAAAAATCATGTATTTACTGTAAAGAAGTTTGATAAGCACCACCTCAGCCATGTGATTCATCAACATCAACAGTGATAAGTCATGTTTACAGTATAGTCTCTGGATGTGATGTGATGAAAACACTTTACCTCTGGGTTCTTCTTCCATATATATATATATATATATATATATATATATATATATATGCATGTATATATACACACACACACACTTAATTTTAGTGTAATCTTGAAAAAAAGCTATCAGACAAATCACAGTTAAAGGGACAGTCTACAGAATACATGACCAGTACTCTTCAAAACTGTAATGGTGGTCAAAGATAAGTCTGTAAAACTGTCACAGCCTAGAGTTTCCTAAGGAGACATGACGAATAAGTGCAATACTGTGTTTTCAATAGGATCTTGAAACAGAAAATAGAAGGAAATTAGATACAAACTAAGAATATCTTGATAAAATATTGACATTAGTTAATCAAAATGTACCATTATCATCCTTTAATTCTAACAAATTATAATAATGTAAGATGTTAATAACAGGAGGACCTGGGTGTATGATTATATTCACATTTTTTCTGTAAATCTAAAAGATATCGTAATTAATTACATTACTAATTTCTAACAAATTTTTCATTGAAAATATATAATTATGAAAAAAATTTGCATTATTTAAAAAATAAAATCATTTTATATGATACTTTGCAATCTTTGGATACATAAAATGACCTAACTATACAGAAAAGATTCTGTTGTGACAGATTCACCTTTAAACTCAATTGACTTTGTTTTCCCAGTGCCATAAGTTACTGTGGACAAAAATTAGTTTGATGTTTATCTTTGTATTTGCAATCAATCTTCCAGCTTTGGGCTCCACAATAGCAGCCTCAACGTGTAATAATTTCTTTTTTCCTTCCCTCCTTCCCTCCCTGCCCCCTGCCTTCCTTCCTTCCTTCCTTCTTCTTCTTTCCCCCCACCACCCGCGCCCCCGCCACCGAGTCTCGCTCTGTCGCCCAGGCTGGAGTGCAGTGGCGCAATCTTGGCTCACTCAAACCTCCACCTCCTGGATTCACGCCATTCTCCTGCCTCAGCCTCCCGAGTAGCTGGAACTACAGGCGCCCGCCACCACGCCTGGCTAATTTTTTGTATTTTTAGTAGAGACGGAGTTTCACCGTGTTAGCCAAGATGGTCTCGATCTACTGACCTAGTGATTCGCCCCCATCGGCCTACCAAAGTGCTGGGATTACAGTCGTGAGATACCGCACCCAGCCAACAACGTGTAATCATTTCTTTAAATATTTTGTTTTCCATCAGTATGACTAATAAAGATGTGTGACTGTGTTCTTCTTTGAATACTCTTTTAACCAAAGACCTTAGAAAATCCCCTAGATATTCAAGAAACCAAAGATTAGTTAATTTACTAAATTTGCTACTTTCTATTTTCTATAGGAATTTTCTCTGAACGTTTATTAAGCTTTAGCATCTAACTGATTTTACTGATCGTACTACATGTTACTAAGTCATCACAACCTGATTATATTTTCTATCTTTATCTTAAAAAATAGCAAGTACAAAAGACAATTATAAATAAAAGTCAATTAGACTTCTGACACTATCAAATTTTCTGTACTATAAAGAATAAAATAGATTTGACTTTAAGAATGTGTGACAGTAAGTATGTCACAAACTAATTTACCTTTTGTTATAAATACATTAATCCAAAATTAGTTTAAATGTGAATGTGGAAGCCAGGGACAATAGGGCACCCTAAAATTATAAAGGTGAATAGAATTGTTAGTGAAGAGATTTTATACAAAGTCTATTAAAATGTCTTTTGTTCATTTCCTCCGGGTTCAGTCTTGATGTGATTTGAACATACTGATGCCAATAAGAGGGATGATATGCATAGTAAATGAATCCATAACTGCTATTTTTTTGTTTAAAATATTTTTATTTGAAGAGCTTTAGAAATACAAGTGGTTTTGGTTACATGGATGAATTGTATACTGGTGATGTCTGGGCTTTTAGTGTACCCGTCACTCAAATAGCATATGTTGTACTCAAAAAGTGATTTTTCTTTTTTTTTAAGGTTTATTTTTCCCTTAAGTTTTATTCTAAGTTCTGGGATACCTATGCAGGATGTGAAGGTTTGTTACATATGTAAATGTGTGCCATGATGGTTTGCTGCACAGATTATCCTATCACCTACGTGTTAAGGCCAGCATCCATTAGTTATTCTTCCAGATGCTCTCCCTCCCACTCCCACCCCCTTTCCCGTCATGTGTCCATGTGTTCTCATCGTTCAGCTCCCACTTACAAGTGACAACATGTGGTGTTTGGTTTTCTGTTCCTGCATTAGTTTGCCGAGGATAATGGCTCCCAGCTCCATCTGTGTCCCTGCAAAGGACATGACCTCATTTCCTTTTATGGATTCACAGTATTCCATGGTATATATGGACCACATTTTTATTATTCTGTCTATCATTGATGGGCATTTGGGTTGATTCTATGTCTTTGCTATTGTGAGTGGTGCTGCATTGAACATATGCATGCGTTTATCTTTGTAATAGAATGATTTATATTCCGTTGGGCATATACCCAGAAATGGGATTGCTGAGTCAAATGGTATTTCTGCCTCTAGATCTTTGAGGAATTGGCACACTGTCTTCCACAACGGTTGAACTAATTTACACTCCCACCAACAGTGTAAAAGTTTCCCTTTTCTCTGCAATCTCACCAGCCTCTATTGTTTTTGGACTTGTTAATAATTGGCATTCTAACTGGTGAGAGATAGTATCTCACTGTGGTTTTGATTTGTATTTCTCTAATGATCAGTGATGTTGAGCATTTTTTCATATATTTGTTGGCCACATGTATGTCTTCTTTTAGGGAGTTTCTGTTCATGTCCTTTGCCCACTTTTTAACGGAGTTGTTTGTTTTTTTGTTGTAAATTTGTTTAAGTTCCTTGTAGACTGGATATTAGACCTTTGTCAGATGGATACATTGCATTTTTTTTTTCCATTCTGACAAGTTTCTTTTGCTGTGCAGAAGTTCTTTAGTTTATTTAGATCCCATTTGTCAAGTTTTGTTTTTGTTGCAATTGCTTTTGACGTTTTCATTATGAAATTTTTGTCCATGCCTATGTCCTGAAAGTTATTGCCTAGATCTTTTTCTAGGGTTTTTATAGTTTTGTGTTTTACATTTAAGTCTTTACTCCATGTTGAGTTAATTTTTGTATAAGATGTAAAGAAGGGGTCCAGTTTCAATTTTCTGCATATGGCTAGCCAGTTCTCCCAGCGCCATTTATTAAATAGGGAGTCCTTTCCCCATTGCTTATTTTTGTCAGATTTGTTGAAGATCAGATGGTTGTAGGTGTGCAGTCTTATTTCTGAGTTCTCTATTCTGTTCCACTGGTCTATGTGTCTGTTTTTCTACCAGTACCATGGTGTTTTGGTTACTGTAGCTTTGCAGTATAGTTTGAAGTTAGGTAGCATGATGCCTCCACCTTTGTTCTATTTGCTTAAGATTGTCTTGGCTATGCGGGCTCTTTTTTGGTTCTACATGAATTTTAAAATAGTTTTTTCTAATTCTGTGAGGAATGTCAATGGTAATTTAATAGGAATAGCATTGAATCTATATGTTTCTTTTGGCAGTATGGCCCTTTTCATGATATTGATTCTTCCTATCAATGAGTATGGACTGTTTTTCCATTTGTTTGTGTCCTCTCTGATTTCTTTGAGAAGTGGTTTTTATTTCTCCTGGAAGAGGTCCTTCATTTCTCTTGTTAACTGTATTCCTAGGTATTTTATTCTCTTTGTAGCAGTTGTGAATAGAACTTCATTCATGATTTGGCTGTTTGCCTGTTGTTGATGTATAGAAATGATAGCAATTTTTACACATTGATTTTTTATCCTGAGACATTGCTTAAGTTGCTTGTCAGCCTAAGATGCTTTTGGGCTGAGACAATGGGGTTTTCTAAGTATAGGATCATGCCATCTGCAAATAAAGATAATTTGACTATCTCTCTTCCTATTTAAATACATTTTATTTTTTTCTCATACCTGATTTCACTCGCCAGAACTTTCAATACTACATTAAATAGGGGTGGTGAGAGAGGGCATCTTTGCCTTGTGCTGTTTTTCAAGGGGAATGCTTCAGCTTTTTTCCATTCACTATGATACTGGTTGTGGGTTTTTCATATATGGCTCTTAATATTTTGAGGTATTTTTCTTCAATACCTAGTTTATTGAGAGTTTTTAACATGAAGGGATGTTGAATTTCATTGAAGGTCTTTTCTACATCTATTGAGTTGATCATGTGGTTTTCATCTTTAGTTCTGTTTATATGTTGAATTAAATTTTTCAGTTTGTGTATGTTGAACCAACCTTGCATGCTGGGGATGAAACCAAACTTGATCATGGTGGAAAAGCTTTTTACATGCTGCTGGATTCAGTTTGCCAGTATTCTATTGAGGATTTTTGTATTGATGTCCATCAGGGATATTGGCCTGAAGTTTTTTGTTGTTGTTGTTTCTCTGCCAAGTTTTTGCATTACGATGATGCTGGTCTCATAAGTTAGGGTGGAGTCCTTCCTTTTCAATTGTTTGGAATCCTTTCAGTAGAAATAGTACCAGCTCTTCTTTGTAACTCTGGTAGAATTCAGCCATAAATCCTTCTGGTCCTGGACTTTTTCTGGTTGTTAGGCTATTTATTACTGCCTTAATTAATTTCAGAACTCATTATTGGTCTATTCAGAGATTCAATGTCTTCTTGTTTTAGTCTTGGTAGGGTGTATGTGTCCAGGAATTTATCCATTTCTTCTAGATTTTCTAGTTCATGTGCATAGAGGCATTTATAGTATTCTCTTATGGTTGTTTGTATTTCTGGTGGGTTAGTTGTGATATCCCCCTTGTCGATTCTGATTTTGTTTATTTGATTGTTTTCTGTTTTCTCCTTTATAAGTCTAGCTAGTGATCAATTTTATTAATTTTTTCAAAAAATCTCCTGGATTCATTGATTTTTGAAGGTTTTTTTTGTGTCTCTACCTTCTTCAGTTACACTCTGATCTTGGCTATTTCTTGTTTTCTGCTAGCTTTAGGATTTGTTTTCTCTTAGCTCTCTAGTTCTTTTAGTTATGATGTGATGTTGTTAATTTGAGATCTTTCTAGCTTTTGGATGTGGGCATTTAGTGCCATAAATTTCCCTCTTAACACTGCTTTAGGGGGATCACAGAGATCCTGGTATGTTGTCTTTGTGTGCATTAGTTTCAGAGAAGTTCTTGATTTCAGCCTGATTTTCATTATTTACCCAGGAGTCATTCAGGAGCAGGTTGTTCAAATTCCATGTAGTTGTGTGGTTGTGAGTGAATTTTTTAATCTTGAGTTCTAATTTGATTATCCTGTGGTCCGGGAGACTGTTTTTTTATGATTTCAGTTCTTTTGCATTTTCTGAGGAGTGTTTTACTTTTGATTGTGAGATCAATTTTAGAGGAAATGCCATGTGGCAATGTGAAGAATATATATTCTGTTGTTTTTGAATGGAAAATTCTGTAGATATCTATCAGGTCCGCTTGATCCAGAACTCAGTTCAGGTCCTGAATATCTTTGTTAATTTTCTGTCTTTATGATCTGTCTAATATTGTCAGTGGGGTGTTAAAGTCTCCCAATATTATTGTATGGAAGTCTAAGTCTCTTTGTAGGTCTCTAGGAACTTGCTTTATAAACAGGAGTGCTTCTGTATTGGGTGCATATATATTTAGAATAGTTAGCTCTTCCTGTTAAACTGAACACTTCACCGTTATGTAATGCTCTGCTTTGTCTTTTTTTTTTTTTTTTTTTTTTTTTGGTCTAAAGTATATTCTGTCAGAAACTAGGATTAAGATGCCTGCTTTTTTCTGTTTTCCATTTGCTTTGTAAGTTTTCCTCAATCTTTTTATTTTGAGCCTATGTGGGTCTTTACATGTGAGATGGGTCTCTTGAAGAGAGCATACTGATAAGTCTTGGCTCTTTATCCAGCTTGCCATTTTGTCTTTTAATTGGGGCATTTAGCCCATTTACATTTAAGGTTAGTATTGTTATGTGTAATTTTGATCCTGCCATCATGATGCTAGCTGCTTATTGTGCAGACTGGTTTATTTGGCTGCTGCATAGTGTCACTGCTCTGTGAACTTCAGTGTGTTCTTGTAGTTGCTGATAATGGGTTTTGTTTCCATATCCCTTCAGTAGCTCTTGCAAGGCAGGGATGGTGATGGTGAATTCCCTCAGCATTTGCTTATCTTAAAAGAATCTTATTTCTCCTTCTCTTACGAAGCTTAGTTTGACCAGATATGAATTTCTTGGTTAGAAATTCTTTTCTTAAGAATGCTGAATATTGGCTGCCAATCTCTTCTGGCTTGTAGGGTTTCTTCTAAGATGTCCACTGTTAGTCTAATAGGCTTCCCTTTGTAGGTTACCTGGCCTTTCCCTCTGGCTGATCCTACCATTTTTTCTTTTATTTCCACCTTGGAGAATCTGATGATTATGTGTCTTAGGGTTCATCTTCTTGCAGAATATCTTACTGGGATTCTCTGGATTTCCTGAATTTATGTCGGTCTGTCTTGATAGGTTGAGGAAGGTCTCCTGGATGATATCCTTAAGCATGTTTTTCAACTTGGTTCTGGTCTTCCTGTCCTTTTCAGGTGCCCCAATCAGTCACAGTTTCATTTTTTTTTTAAACATAATCCCAAATTTCTCTGAGGTTTTGTTTATTTCTTTTCATTCTTTATTCCCTATTATTGTCTGCCTGTTTTATTTCAGAAAGATAGTCTTCAGGCTCTGAGATTCCTCCACTTGGCCTATTCTGCTATTGATACTCGTGATCACCTTTGATGTTCTTATTTTGTGTTTTTCAATTCCATCAAGTTGGTTATTCTCCTCTCTATTCTGCCTATTCTGGTTATCATCTCCTGTATTGTTTTATCATGATGCTTAGCTTCTTTGCTTTGGATTACAACATGCTCCTTTAGCTCAGTGAAGTTCCTTATTACCCACCTTCTGAAGCCTACTTCTGCCAGTTCTGCCATCTTTGCCTCAGTCTAGTCCTTCGACCTTGCTGGAGATGTGTTACAGTCATTTGGAAGAGAAGAGGCACTCTGGCTTTTTTAGTTTTCAGCATTTTTGCATTGATTCTTTCTCAACTTGGTAGGCTTATCTGCCTTTGATCTTCGAGATTGCTGACCTTTAAATGAGTTTTTGTGTTTTTTGTTTGTTTGTTAATATTATTGTTATTTTCTGTTTGTTTTTTTCTCTTTTAACAATCAGGCCAGTCTTCCGTAGGTCTCCTGTGGTTTGCTGGTTGACTTGTTTTTTCCAGACCATGGTTGCCTTGTTTTTTCCCATACCTGGAGGTATCACCAGTGAAGTCTGTGGAACAGAAAAGATGGCACCCTGCTCCATCCTCTAGGAGCTCCATTTCAGGAGGGTACTGACCTGTTGCTGGCCCAAACACTCCTGTACGAAGTGTATGGAGACCCCTGCTGGGAAGACTCAGCTAGTCATGAGGAACAGGATCAGGGACCCACTTAAAGAAGTAGCCTGGCTGCTTTTTGGTACAGCAGCTGTGCTGTATTATGGGGGACATCTCCTCATTCAGACCAGCTGGACTCTCCAGAGCTTGCAGGCTGGAATGTGATTATTTTTATTGGTGGTAAAATAACTATGAAAATTAGAAAAGCTCACTTTGGATTAAAAATCACATCATTGGTTTGCTTTGTTAACTAGAGTAAATGATTGAATCTCTTTATACCTCAGTAATCTGAGAGGTTAAAAAATGAATTATATTTTTAATATATGCAGAAAACAAGGCAGGATGAGATAAGGCTCAGTTTTTTCAAGACTGATTAAATAAAATTCAGTTTATCATATTTTCTGTTAGAAGAGTATCTTATCATAGGTTTCACTTTCTTTTGAGAGAGAAGCATTCACATGTTAATAAATTCACCTTAGAAATATGAAAAATGTGATGACTCATAAGTTGGTGAGAAATTATGAAAATATGTTATTAGTAGTAGTGTACTATTTGATGTTAAAGCCACATAATTTTATAACTTTGGATTGCCAGTGGCCTAATAAGAAGCATTTATAAACTTGAATCATCCCAGCTGCAAACTCACAGAATTAATATTCTTCTGCCTTTGGCTTTACTCTGTGTTATAAAAGTCTAATATGTCTCACATTCCTAGCTGAGATGCTACTGATTCTTCTTTTTAAGCATCTTCATTTTTCTACCCTCCAGTGCCCATTAATATTATCATAGAAGCATTGTACTGCTGAAGAGATAGTACTATCCATACGCCTGGGTAAAATGTGTCCTTGCCCTGAGCCCTGCATTACTGAGAGTCTGCTTTGGTTTTTCACTGAATGTCTTTCTCCTGATGATGTGATGGAAACAAACTCACTGGAAGTCTACTTATCCAATTCTCAATTTTACACTAGGAGACTGGGACAAAGCTAGAGATTTTATTAAAGGCATAGTTTTTCTTTTTGCATTTTTGTCTTACTTGCTAAACATCAAAAACAACTTACTGCCATTTTAGAGCTGTCCTTTTTAGACTATCTACTTCTTGAAAGGCAGTCCTACATGTGTTAAAAAATAAAATTATTTTATAAGATTCTGCTGCAGTTGTTTGAATAATACATTATAAAGTTACTGACACCAATTTTCTACTTCACAAATAGGCAAGGATAATGTGGTACATTTTTGCTGTGTACTTGTTTGGTTTGTTGGTTTTCCAATAACTGGATTGGTCTTGTTCATAACTCCCAAGTATGGATTGGTGGTTTAAAAACAAGCAAACAAACAAACAACTAAAAAATTGTCCATTAATGGTATCTTGGTCTCTTCAAGTTAACAGTCTCAGATTTTCCATATTTCTACCATAGTCTTCTCTGCATGGGCACTAGTTACCTAGAATGATTTATGTAACTCCACAGAAGCCAGGGAAAGATGAACTGTAATCAGTTAGGAACTTCATAATTTCTTGCTCTTCTCTGATGCAAAATGGCTGATCAGTTTTGATTCCTTAATTCATGTTTGCCAAGTTATGATTAGTTTTAGCAAACCTTTGAGATGATGACATTGATTACTGAAGCCTGGAAGCGTAGAAATTTGCTTCTGGATTCAAAGGACCTTCACATTATGGCCCCTTTAACCTTAGAATTCCATGCTTCCTTCTCACAGCTTTAGGAATTTCTTGATCAACTTTAACCACTTGCAAATAAGGGGAATTAGTAAAATTACCTTACCTTACTCTTTCTGCACAATAGTGCCCACTTCATGCTACATGGAGCTAAGTAGTGGTAAATCTGCCAGTGATGAAGGGCACTAACCCAGTTGTATTTCCTCCAAACAAACACATACATTTGGAGTACAACATTTTCAAATCCTGGAGATTAGGACCATAGTCCCATCTGACTCTCTCGCGCTACTACAACTTCTGTCCTCCTTCAGTACTTGAAAAGTGATGAAAGAAGCAATTTTGCTTCTTCTGGTTTTAAAGGAACTTTCTATCTCATGTTCTATTCCCTACCAAAATGGTCTTCACTCTGTTCTTTTCTGTAGCAATATAATTGAAAATGGGGTAAGGAGGAAAAAGTTTACTGCTGAGGGAAAAAGCATTAAATGTACCACATTGCCCAGTTGTGAAAACACCCAGTTTGCTTTCCTCCTTGAGGCTATAACATATATTTAATATGAATTAAAATATAATTAATATTTTATAATCATTGTCTAAAAGTTAATGCCACTATCTGGGTCATCTGTGGGTCTGCTTCTGTGGAATATTTTTTCTCCTAATTATGTATCAAATTTCCCATTTTTCCATACTTCTCACTTTCTACTTTTTTTCCTGGAAATGGGTATAAAATGAAAGTATAAAGGAAACTAATATATGACTTCTAAAAATAGGCATTCCGGAACTCCTAAGCCTTCTCTTCTATGTGGCAGCTACAATGCAGAGCTAAACCTTCAGATTTTACCATTTAGGAGCTGCCTTCATTAGATTACTTTTACCCATTGATAGCACAAATCCCGTTCTCTCACATTATAGTTGCTGGGACTGATCTTTTTAATCTTGTAAATATTTGAACTGGAATGTTATTGGAGAGCTCTCATAGAACATTGTATCAGGGTCTATGGATGAATCTCTCTGAAAATCATCAAGACTTCATAAATTCTCTCTGATTTCCAGCCACTGCTACTTTTTCAGCCAAATTCAGGGAAGGGGGAAATTTAGACTGAATAATTTTATTTTATTTTTGAAGCTTTTTGTACTCTAATCTCTCTGGCTATTTCAAATTTTTACTACAATTTCTGCATACTCCACTACCTATCTGAACTACCTATAAGAAAAATAGTTATTTTCCTCAGCTATGAAAGTAGCTGCTACTCTGTGTTCACCTATGAAGATGTGTTCCTCTCTGGAATTCAGAACCTTGGGCTACCTTGAAGCCACTACTCTTCTGATTTAAAAGGATAATACTTATTTCATTCATTTTTATTTCTTTTTGCTACCATGAGAACACAGGCCTTACCATCACTCTAGATCTTAACAAGAAACAGAATCACTTAAGAATATTTTAAAGTGCAATGTATGTAAAATTATTTTTATTTCTATTTAATTTTAAATCTGCATTTCACAGAGCTGCTGTATTATAAAAGTCTGCGTGTGTGTGTTTGTTTATGTGTATGTTTTTACTTGTCACAGGTGAATGAAAAACTTTACACTTATCTTAAAATTGAGTTGGTATAAGTAATTATATCTAAATGGAAGATTTAGTTTTAACACCCCGTTTGATTTGCCCCATGCATTCAATGACGATATTAACATACAACTTTTCAAAGGAAAATGATAGACATGAACATGATTGAATATGATATTCAAAAGGTTAACAGGGAAGAAACTTGCAGCTTAGAATTTTAGCAAATTGTTTCAAAAAATAAACGTAAAATAAGACATACATATACACATATATATCTGTATCTGATAAACATACATATTTATATGAGAGATCTATACGTGAAAAAAATCAGACAATACATTTAGGAAAAAATGAATAATACATAAAAGATAAATATTTTGGTAAATCTAAATGGATTAACTGCTTAAAACAATAAGAGTGACATCTGATAGAACTTAAAGCACACGAGAGCAAGATAGTATAAGTTCAGAGAAAGAGAAAGGTAATGATCTAAGGTCTTGCAATTTTCAGATTAAGATATAAATATTTTTATTAGACTTTGATAAGACAACAGTATACAATCTATTGTGGTAACTACAAAAATACTGCTAAAAGAAGAGGTAACTATAAAAGGACTAGTATGGAAATGAAAAATATATATTTTTATTTCAAGATTTATTTTTGATACTTGGAGTACATGTGCAGATTTGTTACATGGGAATATTGTGTGTTGCTGAGGTTTGGAGTATGGATCCTGTCATCCAGGTAATGAGCACAGTACCTGATAGGTAGTTTTTCTAACCCACTTCCCCACCTCCCACTACTCTAGTAGTCCACAGTGTCTATTGTCCCCATATTTATGTCAATATGTGCTCAGTGTTTAGCTCCCACTTATAAGTGACATCATGTGGTATTTGATTTACTGTTCCTGTGTTAATTTGCTTAAGATCATGGCCTCCAGCTCCATCCATGTTCTTGCAAAGGACATGATTTTATGCCTTTTTATGGCTGCATAGTATTCCATGGTGTATATGTACCACATTTTCCTTATCCAATCTACCATTGATGGGCAGCTGGGTTGATTCCATGTTTGTGCTACAGTGAACATGCAAATGCATGTGTCTTTTGGGTAGTTATTTATTCTCTTTTAGATATATATTCAGTAATGGGATTGCTGGGTTGAGTGATAATTCTGTTTTAAGTACTCTGATAAATCTCCAAACTGCTTTCCACAGTGACTGAACTAATTTACATGCCCATCAAAAATGTATAAGCATTTCCTTTTATCTGCAGCCTCTCCAACATCTGTTATTTTTTGTCTTTTTAATAATAGATATGCTGACGGTTTGAGATGGTACCTTATTGTGGTTTTGAATTGCATTTCTCTTATGATTAGTGAAGCTGAGCATTTTTTCTTATGTTTGTTGGACACTTATATATCCCATTTTAAGAAGTGTCTTCATGTCCTCTGTCCATTTTTTAATGGGGTTGTTTTTCACATGTGGATTTGTTAAAGTTTCCTACAGATTCTAGATTTTAGGCCTTTTTCAGATACATAGTTTTCAAATATCTGTAGGTCGTTTGTTCTGTTGACAGTTTCTTTTGATGTGCAGAAGCTGTTTGGTTTAAGTCTCTATTTATTTCTTATTTATTTATGTATTTATTTATTTACTTATTTATTTTTTTGCAATTGCTTTTGGGGACTTAGGCAAAGATTCTTTACCAAGGCCAATGTTGAAGAGTATTTTCTAGGTTGTCTTCCAGGATTTGTATACTTTGAGGTCTAACATTTAAATCTTTAATTCATTTAATTTTTTATATGATGAAAGGTAGGGGTCAAGCTTCAGTCTTCTGCATATGGCTAGTCAGTTATTCCAGCACTGTTTATTGAATACGGAGTCCTTCCACCATTGCTTGTCTTTGTTGGCCTCATCAAAGATCAGATTGTTGTAGGTGTGTGGCTTTATGACTGAGTTTTCTATTCTGTTCCATTGGTCTATCTTTCTCTTCTGGTACCATGCTGATTTAGTAACTGTGGCCTTATAGTATAGTTTGATGTTGAGTAGTGTGATGCCTCCAGCTTTGTTCTTTTTGCTTAGGATTGCTTTGGCTATCCAGCCTCATTTTTTATTCCATATGAATTTTAGAATAACTTTTTCTAATTCTGTGAAGAATGACATCACTAGTTTGATGGGAATAGCGTTGAATCTGTAAATTGCCTTGGGCATTATGGCCATTTTATAATATTGATTTTTCCTATCCATTAGCATAGAATGATTTTGCATTTATTTGTATCATATCTGATTTCTTTCAGCAGCATTTTGTAGTTTTCTTTGTAGAGATCTTTTTCTTCTTCCTTTGTTATCTGTATTCTTAGATATTTCATTTTCTTTGAGACTATTGTAAGTTAAATTGTGATACTGATTGCACTTTCAGTGTGAATATTGTTGGTGTATAGAAATGCTACTGATTTTTGTACATTTATTTTGTATTCTGAAACTTTACTAAAGTAATTTATCTATTCTAGGAGCCCTTTCACAGAGTCTTTAGTATTTCCTAGCAGCGACAAGAGATAGTTTGACTTCTTCTTTTCCTATTTCGATGCCTTTTAATTTTTTCTCTTGCCTGATTGCTCTATCAAGGACTTCCAGTACTATATTGAATAGAAGTGAATTGAGTGGACATCCTTGTCTTGTTCCAGTTTTCAAGAGAACTGGTTTGAGCTTTTGCCAGTTCAGTATGACATTGGCTGTCATAGAATGCTCTTATTATTTTTAGGTATACTCCTTCGATGCCTACTCTTTGGAGGGTTTTTATCTAAAAGATATGTTAAATTGTATCAGAAATGTTTTCTGCATTTATTGGGATGATAGTATGATTTTTGCTTTTGATCCTGTTTATGTAGTGAATCACATTTATTGATTTGCATATGTTGAAACAGCCTTGCATCCCAGGAATACAGCCAACTTGCTTACTTGATTGTGTTGTATTAACTTCTTGATGTGCTACTGGATTTATTTTGCCTGTATTTTGCTGCAGATTTTTGTGTCTAGGTTCATGAGAATTATTGGTCTGAAATTGTCTTTTTTCATTGTGTCTTTGCCAGATTTTGGTATCAGACTGATGCTAACTTCATAGGATGAATTAGGAAGAGGCCCTTCTTCCTCAACTTGTTTTTTTGAAATGTTTAATATAATTGGTATCAGTTCTTCCTTGTAAGTCTAGTAGAATGCAGCACTGTGAATCCATCTGGTCCAGGGCTTTTTTTGGTTGGTTTATGGGTTCTTTATCACTGAGTCAATTTTAGAAGTTGATATTAGTCTATTCAGGATTTCATTCTCTTCCTGATTCAATTTTGGGAGATTTTGTGCTTCCACAAATTTATCCTTTTCTTCTAAATATCCTAGATTATGTGCATAACATTGTTCACAGCAGTCACGGAGATTCTTTTGTATTTCTGTTGGATCAATTGTAATATTACCTTTGTTGATTCTGATTGTGCTTATTTAGATATTTGGATCTTTCTTTTTCTTTGCTAATCTAGCTATGGGCCTATTCAACCTTATTTACTTTTGTCAAAGAACAAACTCTTGGTTTTATTGATCTTTTGTACAGATTTTTGCATAGCGCATAGCGATATCACTAAGTTCTTCTCTAATTTTATTTCTTCTACTAGCTTTGAGGTTGGTTTGCTCTTTTTTCTACTTCCTTTAGGTGTAAAGTTACACTGTTAATTTAAGACCTTTATAAATTCTTAATGAAGTCATTTAGGCTGGTCTACAAACTTTCCTCTTAACACTGCTTTGGCTGTATCCAAGAAATTTTAGTAAATTTCCTCTCTCCTTCATTAATTTCAAAGTATTTTTAAACTCCTGCCTTAATTTTGATGTTCATCCAGGAGTTACTCAGGAGTCAGTTGTCTAACTTCCATGTATTTGTGTAGTTTTTAGATAGCTTGGTATTGATTTTATTTATTTATTTTTGAGATGGAGTCTTGCCCTGTCACCAGGCTGGAGTGCAGTGGCACGATCTCGGCTCACCACAACCCCCGCCTCCCAGGTTCAAGTGATTCTCTGGCCTCAGTTTCCTGAATAGCTGGGATTATAGGCATGTGCCACCATGCCCAGCTAGTTTTTGTATTTTTAGTAGAGATGGGATTTCACCATGTTGGCCAGGATGGTCTTGATCTCTTGACCTAGTGATCCACCCATCTCAGCCTCCCAAAGCACTGGGATTACAGGCATGAGCCACCATGCCTGGCCTGGCATTGATTTCTTTTCTTATTGCACTGTGGTTCAAGATTGTGCTTGGTATGATATGATTTCATTTTTTCGAATTTATTGAGGCTTGATTTATGACTATTTTATCTTAGAATATGCTCCACATGCAGTTGAGAACAATGTATATTCTGTAATTGCTGGGTGGAATTTTCTGTAGATGTCTGTTAGATCCAATTGGTCAAGTCCTAAACTTAAGATAAATATACAAGAAAGAGAATAAATAAAATATATTAAAATGGTTTATATAAACCTGAAAATATCAGAAATTACATTAAATAAAATATAAATTTATGGTTCAATTAACAGAAACTAATTATCAGACTTAAGAGAATCAATTTTATTTTATTAAGATAAATATATAATATAAAATAATAACATTTAAAAGTAAAAACAGAAAATCCAATACCTTGCAAATACTACCTGCTATAGTCTGAATGTTGGTGTGCTTCCAAAATTCATATACAGGGACCTAATTCCCAATGTGATATTGTTAAGAGGTGGTGTCTTTGGGAATTGAAGTCATAAGAGCTCCACTCTCATGAAGCTGATTAGTGACCTTATAAAAGAGACTTAAACTTGTTCCATCCCCTCTTCTATCACATAAGAGTACAGCAAAAGATGCTATCTGTGAAGCAGAGGGCAAGCCTTCACCAGACACCAAAGCTGCTGGCACTTTAATCTTGGACTTTTCACCCTCCAACTGTAAGAAATAAATTTCTGTTTTTTTTATAAACTACCCGGTCTTAAGATATTTAATTATAGCTTCCTGAACAAACTAAGACATTAACCAAAGGAAATTGATAGAGTGGTATATCAGATACAGTTGAATTTAAATAAAAGAGTAAAGATAGAGGGAAATTTCATTATGATAAACTGTTTAATCAAGAAAGTAAAAACAGTTTTAAATCTGTATTCGTATAATATCATACTATCACGACAGATAAAGTTTGACAAAAAATAGATAAATATAAAAACCTACAATTATAGTGGGAGACTTAACATACCTTTTTCAGTAGCTGGTATGGCAATTATACCAAAAATGTGTGGGAATATAAATATTTGAACACATTGAATAAAAATCAATACAATTTTTATCTATAGTAGCCTACTTCAACAATTGCAGAAAACACACCTTTTTTATGTGCTCATGAAACATTAATAAAACATTACCATATGTTATTCCAGTAAGCAAATGTTGACATAGTTCAAAGATTTAAATCTTTCATAATTATTCTAATTACAGAACAATGGAAGATAGAAAGGCATAACTAAATATAACTTAAGAACTACCATATGTTTAAGAATGTAAATGCTTTCTTCTAAATAGTCCGTAGCTCAAGGAAAAAGTCATAATGGTAATTAGAAAATATTTTCTACTAAATAGTACAAAAATATATAATATATTCAAATTATGGGGTGCAACTAAAGTTATGTTAGATTGAAATGAATGTATTAAAAACAAGAAAGCCATGAAATAGATTATGTAGGAATCCATCTCAAAATAGTAGAAAAAAGAGATCAAATTTAACTCAACAAAAGAATTGAGAATAAACAAAAGGAAAAATGCAACAAATTTATAAAAAGAAATGCTTAAGAAAAGTTATTTTTTTTAATAGACAGGGAAAAATTGATGAGTTTCTAGGAATGAAGAGAGAGGGAGAGAGAGACTAAGACAAAGACTGGAGATGAAATAGACAATATCAATAAGGAATAAGGGATATGACTATGGATTTTAGAGATATTTTAAAAAATCAAAAAGGAATCTTGCAAAAAAACTAATGCCAACAAATTTTAAAATTAAAAAGTAAAAACTCGTATAAGAATAAAGACATAACAATAAAAATGTCAGAAGAAAAAAGGGACATTCTGATTTGAACTGTTACATATTAATGTAACAGAATCTTGACCTGAAAATGAAGCCACAAAGATAAATTAAGGTTAAGGTATTAGAGTAGGTAACAATTTCAAATAGAAGAAATAAACAATGGCCAACCCACATGAACTATTTCAGAGAAGACATTCAGTATTCCTCACAATACAGTCTTTCTAAGGACAGTATTTCCTTGATAAAAAAAATCTGAAGACATCATTTAAAAATTATTTTATTATCACAAGCATAGTTACAAAATCCAAACAAAATGTAAATTAAATATACTGACAAATAAAATGCACAACACACAAAAATTGCCTTATTCAAGAAATGCTAGGCAAATGCTATTCTATAGATAGCATAATATTACAGCAAACATTACTCTGCATGATGAAATTATGAAATCATTTCCTCTAAGATTAGGAATGAACATGAAAGCCTATTGTCATCATTTTTACTTGATATTGTATTGGCGGTGCTAGCCAGTGGAATAATAAGAAAAACACAACAAAGGTATTAATAAAGATTAAAATGCCATAATTAATAGTTCAGATGATTCTATATATAGCTGATCCAAACGTCCTATAAAATCATTAGGTCTAAAAAATGAGTTTTACAATATTTCAAGATATAAGATCAATAAAATCTTGATTGCATTTCTAGGTTCTAACCAAACAAGAATACACACATTCACACATACACACACACACACACACACACACACACACATCCATTTGGAGCAGCATTAAAAGATCAAATGCCTAGAAATATATAAATAAGGATAAGATGTGAAAGACTTCTGAAAATATAAAATATTGAGGACATTTATTTTAAAGAATTAAACCCATAGGGAAATATGCCACATCTATAGATTGAAAGACTTAGCATTGGAGAGATAACAGTTCTTTAATATTGGTCTATAGAATCAAGGAACACCCGAGCAAATGTGTGCATAACTTTTATTAAAATTGGCAAACATCTAAATTATTAGAAACCCAAAGGCCAAGAATAGTATATCTTTGAAAGGAAAGGGAAAAAAGGTATAAAGTTATTCTACTGAATATCAACACTTAATATAAAAGAAAAGTTATTATGACAGTGTAGTATTCATACAAGGTTAAAAAAATAATAGAACCATCAGATGGAATGAAAAAAAAAATAGAACCATCAGATGGAATGGTGAGCCTGAAATGCCTCACGTGAACATTTCATTCATGCAAAGATGATGCAGCAGAGCAGTAGAGAATAAACTATTTTATAAATGTTGTTTTGTCAGTTGGGTTGCCATATAGAAAATTATCT